>NC_000003.12:81828181-82131212 GCF_000001405.40 Homo sapiens | reverse complement strand
GGAATAAAATTCAGATTGCCTAAGATATTATAGATGTGAATTTAACAAAACATTTAGATGAATTACAAACAGTGGAAACTTAATATGACACATCCTATCTTTAAAAAATATACTTTGAAAGAAAAGGCTTTTGAATGGAGGCAGAAAGACAGCCTGTGAAAATATTTGTTCTGAAAAATTATAAATTCCAAAATGGAAAGAATTAGAATTGGTAATAGCCTCCATTTAGCAGAACTCTCTCTAAACTTGCATGTACTTCAGTACCTGTAGAAAGAGTATTTCTTCAGTTGAATGAATTACAGTACATAGAAAGGTCACTTGAATTTATGACTACAGGAGATCTTATAAGGAATTAATAATAAGTCAGTTAAAATGTATTTTCAGAAAAATGCCAGTTACTCAGGATTAGAGATAGAAATGGATTTAAGTGTATGAGTATATAACAAGAACAACTATTCTGCATACTTTAATTTTTTATATGAAGACAATCAATATAAGAATATTTTAAGTTGACTTTAATATACATGATATATATTATTTTTAATTTTTAGAAAGATTTTTAGATATGAAAAAAATTACTGAATGACACTATTTGAGGGGCCAAACAATATTACAAAGCCAGTTGGTTACTCCATTAATAAATGTTTCAAACCATGAATTAATTTTAATTATGTTTTTGTATCAGGTTTAACTCATAAAATTGTCCCAGTTCAAAAGACATATCATGGTTTTTTGCTACTCTAAGACACACAGACCTCTATTACCCTACGGTCTAGGATGAGCTCCCTTCCCTCCTTCTCAAAGTCACTCCTCAGTTTGCCAGAAGCTCCTTTTTTACAGGGATACAGACCTATCAACTACCACCAGTTCAAGTCACTAGCATGAGCTCACCAGTGAGGTCAGAATTTAGGAAATGGTAGAAAAAAACTATTGACTTCAGGCAGCTTCTGCTTTTTAGCTATCAGTGAGCACAACATTGTGCACTGGTTTAAAAAGAGGAAGGAGAAAATGCAGGGTGTTGTGTAAACTGACAACTTATACGACACATTACTTATCTCTAGCCGTAAAATAATCCCTCATTTTCTTTATAGTCTTTCTTTTTCCATAGTTCTGTCTTTCCTTTTACTTCAGCAACCTTTCCCTTCGTCACTTTGAGCTGCTTGGGAGGTACCCAGCCTGGAATCATAATTCTAGTCTAAGAAATGCTATTTTCAATTAGTCATCTTTCCCCTGCTTTTCCTCAGAAAGAATTGTTTGTGTGATATTTAAGTTAAAATAGAAGCTGGAGAAGGTCTGCTATAAAAAGAAGGGGCTTATGATGTCCCAGTAGAACTGCAGAGCTGATGTGAATAACGACAATTGTTGGTTTCAAGGGGGTGCCTTGCTGACTTAGGGTAGAGTGATCAGATCGCCTTTATTAAAATGCAGACACACTCAAACTGATTGACAGTAAATCCTTATAGAAGAAAAGCATCCTGTCCGCATAAGATCATTACAAAATCCATCAGCAACATTCTGCTTATCCTCTATTATAGCAGATCTTATGCACTGTAATATTTGTGTATATGCCTGCTTTTCCCACTAGACTGAGCTGTTCAAGAACTGGGATCTTATCTTATTAATCTCTGTATCCCCAGGGCCTAGTATAGTCTGGGCACAAAATAGGCACTCAATGAATAATTGCTGAATGAAGGAATCATGAATTCAATCATGTCTACAAATTCTTAAGTCACAAATCCTGCAGATGCTTGAAGAATGTAATGAATTATTTGCATCGGTGTTACATGGTCTGTTTGTTGCAAGTCATCTGCCATGGGGAAGCTTCTCTTTGTCTCATTAGCATCATCTCAGCATTATCAAACCATGTTCATGAAACTTGCACCTATTTTTAGGATGACTAGGACCTTATCCTATAAGATTTAAACATTTCTTCATTAGTTTTCCCTCACTTTCAGCAATTCTATAACCCAAATTGCAATGTGATTTCAAATACGAAAGCTTGATGAAAGGAAAATATTTAACTTTCACAGTTGCAAGATGTTTTCAAGATCAATCGCCTGGTATAATCCCCTCAATTAACAAATGAATCAACTCTTACCCAGAAAAACTTAATTCATCCAAGTTCAGAGGATTGGTTAGTAGTAAGGCCAAGAAAAAAACCAATCTTCCTAACCTTTATTTTTTCCATGATATTAACTGAAGTTGGAAAAAGCAAAATAAAGAGAAACACAAATTAAAAGTAATGAAGAAGCAACTAAAATAAGAAAATGAACAAGGAGAAAAATATGTTTATGCAACAGATTTACTTTTTAAAATTTTGGTGCAAAACTCCTTTAAAGTTATTTACATTAAATGAATCCTGGTGATTTGAAGGAATCCTGTCTAGGTCAGCTTCTCCAGACAATAGACTGAGCATCTGAGATCTGCATGCAGGAAGTGTATTGGGGGGTGCTCCCAGAACAACATCTGTCAGTGTTTGAGGGGACTCAGGTTGGGCATAGGAAGCAGTGGCAGTTGCAGCAAACACTCAGCCAATCCAATGGGGTGCTAGGGAGCTTTGGTGCCCCTTCAGAGTTGTCCCCAGTTAAAGCAAGGACACTAGGCTCTTTACTGCCACATCAACCAATCAGTGGACTCAAACTGAGGGCACGTTTTGGGGAAAGATTCATCTGTGGGTCTTCAGCAGCCAAGCTTCCTGGCAGCTGGGGTAATAAAAGTTTCAGTCCTAAAGAAGAATTTGGCAACGCAACACAGGGTTCACTACTGTCCACTCTTTGTGCCATTTGGATCTACTTACTTAAGGTAATAAATTCACTTCATCCGAGAACAGCTCCTCCAGGTTTCAAGCTTGTTTCTTTTTCTAACAAAACAGCTTCTGCTGCTATAGCTAGTCAGGAGGCCGCAGCTGATATTATTTTCCTCCTTTACTACTCATTCCAGATTCATTTCTGCTGACAAAAATGGCTTACTTCACGCCTGTAATCCCAGCACTTTGGGAGGCCAAGGCAGGCAGATCACCGGAGGACAGGAGTTTGAGCCCAGCCTGGCCAACGTTGCAAAACCCCGTCTCTACTAAAAGTAAAAAAAAAAAAAAAAAAAAAAAAATAGCCAGGCGTGGTGGCATGAGCCTGTAATCCCAGCTACTCAGGAGACTGAGGCAAGAGAATCGCTTGAACCTGGGAGTCTGAGGTTGCAGTGAGCTGAGATCGCACCACTGCACTCCAGCCTGGCAACAAAGCGAGACTTTGTCTCAAAAAAAAAGAGTGGCTTACTTAGTGACCTAGCCCCTCATCCCTGAGGTGAAAAAGTCTCTAGTCCTTTGCTTGCTCAGACAGTGGCTGACGCAGTTGTCCATTTGTTCTCACAATTGGACAAGAGATTACCAAGAGATTAACTACTGTATCTCCTGGATCTGAAATACATCCATCTCTACTGCACCCATTGTATAGCCACCAACTTTACGTCTCCTTGGTGATGTACATCAACTTCCCTACCAGGGGAGTATCTCTTTTCACGCTTGCTAGTCTCTTGGTAAAAGAACTCCAAAACCAGCAGGCAGCAGCCACAGCTTAAAGTATAATGGGACACTTGCCGCACAGCCTAGTGGAAGGATTCTCCCATTGAGAATCTGGACCTCTAGACCCACAAAGTCAAAAGTTGTGGGGATGAGAAACACAAATTCCTCAACTGGGTTATTGGGATAAGGTTAAATGATACCATTCCTTGATTCTGAGATGCATGAATCCTTTTTGAATAAGCAGCCAGGCTGCAAAAGTTTGCGTGGTACAGTTTATAAGACCAATGACCAAGTAGATATATGTCAACAGTCACACTCTGTGTGCCATAAAGTGTGTCCCTTGATTCAAAACAATGTTATAGAGAATTCTCTGTTGGTGAAACAAATAATCTATAAGCCCTTGAATAGTGGGGGTGAATATGGTCCTGTAGACAACATAAATCCACAAATATGGAGTATGTGTCAACAGAAGTCAAGATAAATTGCTCCCCTTTCTAGCATATTAAGGATTTGATGGAATCACTTTCCCACCAAATAGCTTGCTGGGCCCCTTGAGGAAAGGTCTCTGCATTGTGCACTGTTGCTGTCAGCTTGTACATTTGGGAGCAGCAGTAACTAGATCAGTTACTGAATAGGAACCCATCCTATTGATCCCATTCATGAACAATATATCTGCCACCCATGGTTATTCCATTTATGGTTCCATTTTACCAAAACTGGGTGACTGATGACAGAGCCTGGATGATCCCAACCAGCTTGTATTCTTGATTGCTTAGTGCTTCTTATGTGATGGATCATCCATGGGGAGAATTATCACGCATTACACATTTTGCTTTGTTTGTTGTTTTGCACTTCGTGCCCACTCCTATATGTCCATCTATATACCTTGTCCTCAAAAATATTTTTTCCAATCCTAAAATCATTCTCCTTCCAAACTCCTGATTAATTGTCTGACTCATCCATCACTGTTCGTGAGCCCATATATATTCTAACCTCAGGCCACTTTTCTCCCACATATGTACTCCTCAAAGTTATACCCATTGGGAAGATTTCTCCTCACCTCTCTCTTCAGGCCCACCCCATGTGTTGATCTGTAGCACAGTACATTTATGTCTGTCTGGCATACTAAGCCAATCCATCTATAACTTAAGCTTAGCCTTTTTCTTCCTCCATCAGCTATTCATAACAAATTCCCCATACACAGCAGGTGAATGTTAAGTGCTAAGTGAGATGTGCCAAGGCGACAATGGTAGATGACATGGAGTCTGAGCCACCTGCTTGTGTTGCTTAGTTGTGCCCTCTGGCCCTGTTCATGCCTGATGCTGGCATGATTAATTGCTACTGGGCCTCAGCAACCTATGACTACATTAGTTTGGCAGAATCCAGCTCTGCATGGTTACTCGATGTCCATTTAGGTGGCCTGTCTCTATCAAGACCCCTAGCATGCCATGGCTGCTTGTCTAATAGAACATGATTTTTCATTGCAGATGGCATAGCCTTGCTCCAGAACACTAAAGAGTCCACATTACAATTCACCATTTGGGTCATGCCATAACTCCCCATGGTGATTTTTGCCTACCGCCGACATCTCTAATATTATACAGTCTGCTTTGTTGTCTTCAAACAAGAGGTCTATGTGGCACAGCTACTGTGTCAAAACCAGAACCTTCTGAAGAGTCCCTTCTTATTCTGTGTCCAACTCAAAGATGTTGGTTTTCCATGTTACTTGTTTACCAGGAATCATGTTTCCTTCTTAGTGGTGGGAGATGAAAGACACACAAACTGTCCTTTACTGTGGAGATGATCTGGCATATACTAGACCACACAGCTTATTGATGTAGCATGTCCGTGAAGCTTCATAGAGTTTATAGGGAATGCCATAATTTCCCATCCTCTGGACTACATGTGTCTTAACAAGGCCACCAACATACATGTTTCTACCTCATCTAGTCCACTCAATACAATGCCATTAAAATAGTAGACCAATGTAATATTATATGTTCAAATAGTTTAGTTTACTGTAGACTACATGTATGACATAGGGTAGAAGAATTATATCCCTAGGATAGCACTGCAAATGTATATTTGTGTCCATCACATGTGAATATTCACTTTTTCTGGTTATCCATATTTTTAGTGATGGGAAATAATGCATTCGACAGAACACTGGCTGTTTACCAAGTTCCTGAGACCATGATATACAG
Organism: Homo sapiens; assembly: GCF_000001405.40. Classification (NCBI taxonomy): domain Eukaryota; kingdom Metazoa; phylum Chordata; class Mammalia; order Primates; family Hominidae; genus Homo; species Homo sapiens. Next base: position 82,125,491 of record NC_000003.12, on the reverse strand, counting down.
AGCCAGGACTAATATGAGGTCAGTAAGACACTTGCGTCAGATACAAAGATTTGAGGGAACATCAAAAACTCAGTAATCAAGATAAATATTACAAGGTAAATATTTTTAAAAGTTAAATTAGGACAAAAAATCCATGATGAGCAAAATATTAAAATTGTTAAGAAGGACAATATTGGCATTAAGTTTTTATTTTTTCCCATGCTTCATTTTAGCTTGGCATGGTGCTACTTCTGATTCTGTCTTCCTTTAAAATTTTATTACATCTGGCATAGCTCCTACAATTGGGGCTACTACTTGGTTGAGTTTGTAGTAGGCCACTGTCATCCTCCAGAATTCATCTGAATTTTCTGTTGCTGAAGCAAGGCTACCAAATTAAATTGGGGGTATGATGAGAACCATCATTCCTGCATCTTTTTTGACTTTAAGCAAATTTTATGCAAAATTTTCTTGGTTTACTGTCTTGGCCAGGTTCAGAAACAGTTTCAGAGGCTTCTACTTAATGTTTTCCATTCCAATAGCTCTTATTCCACAGGCCAGTGGAATTAAATGTAGTCTTTGCATTGTAAGTAAGCATTTGGTGATGAGAGAAATGTCTAATGGGTTCATGTAATCAACGTACACAGGAATCCATTTATTACCTGCCTCTATATGCTCCTGCTTAACTGGGGGAACATGGTGAAATTGCAGGTACCTGTGTAATAACATCATCTGAACCTCCAATGCCCTACTGTTTTGTAAATATCTAACTATTCCCCTTTCCTCAGTTTATGTTTATTCACGATAAATGATATAAGTCTGTTTGAATAAGAACTGGGAATTGTTATATCACAATATGCTTGCTCTTGTTTTGCAAAGTCCTCCCTCCTGGGGAACCAGTCTTTTTAGTCAGTGGGGTCTGGAACTGAAAACTGGCTCAGATCATGAAACTGGGGAATACAACTGTAATATTTCATGGGAGATAGCAAACCTCGACCTTCTGATAATCCCTCCTTGACTTCCTTTGATTTTTACAAATGAGCAATATCCTTGTCAGCTGTCCAGCTTTTTTTTTTTCCCCTAGGCCTGCCATGTTCTATTAAATATCAACATATCTCTGAGAGTCAGCTCTCCCTGGCTGCTCCTGTGACCTTGCTGCACTGCCACCTATTTCAGGATTCTATATTTCCCATTTTATAAGGGATGCTTCAGGTCCTGGATGTCAATGTCTAATCTGCCATCTTTTCTGTATTATATAACAATATCTTCTACCATCGGTCCTGATCCTCAGAGTATAGTCACCGCTGACCTTCACAATCATATGTGTCCTTCTCACCTTACTGCTGTGGACAACAAAATGTTTTCCATCCAGACCCTTGCAGAATATACTCACAGGTAAGTTTTCAAGCCCTATGTGTTCTATCAACTCTTGTAGGCCAACTTCTTTGAGTATTTTGATCCTTTCTTCCACTCTCTGCCATCTTAGTTTTGGCATTTGTATCTCACTTAGTGAAAGCCATCACTTACTTTCAACTTTCAAGAGCCCACCTAGCAGTATGTTAGTTCTATCCTCTGTCATCCTTGCAGGGCATATTACCCATATCATGAAAGAATGCTTGCCATGAACCATACATACATACATGGTTCCTGCCAGTACCTGTTAGCTAAGTCATGTAGTTCCTTCAGCATGATGTCCTTTTTCTCCCTTTGTAGGCCCAGCACATATGTGGCTAGATTATATGGCAACTTATCCCTTGTAAGTCTTTGATCAGGACTGGAGGCAGAGTGGCTCCTAAGTGACCGGGTTGTGTATTGTCTTATGAGACAGAGGCCTGCATTGTTTGCAAAGAAAGGGGAAGGACTGACCTTTAGTACGAAAGAGTAGACTACTTTTGAATACATTAATAATACAGAGGAATATATAGATTAAAATTTTTCAAGTGCTTTGACCCAGTTTTCCTCATCTCAAGCCTTCGGGCTGCACCCCTTCTCAATCAGGACCCTGACTCTGGCATAGCAGATTTGCTGAGGTCGATAATTCAATCTTCTCTAGAGTCTTCTCTATCTTTTAAATTAAGTCCTGGGTCTGACCCTCAGCTTTTTATATTTGACTCTAAGAAATGAGAGTCTCTTCTAATTCAGCCAAGGAGAATATTCTGGCTTTCACATTTTGCTTTAACCTCGTGATTAATCACATCAGCCTTTCTTTGTCTTTCTCTAGTAAATTGATAGCATTCAGCAGCAGCCGCCATCCAATTTCATTGTCCTATATTTACTGGCTTTTTCTGAGCCTCTCAAATATCTGAGTTATTGCATTCATCAGGGCATTCCCTTTTACTGATGTGTTATCCTAGTTACCACTAGTGAACATTTTAACAACTGCCCTGCTACAGTACACCAGGGAATGTCAGCACTTCATCTACCACCCATAATGGGCCAGAGATGACCAAGCTCCCAAATCTCTTTTAGGATCTGTTTCCTTGGGCCAAACAATTCCTTGTACCAACTATCTTAGATCAGGTTTCATTTCCCGTGAGCAGAATCTTAAACACAGATTTGAATGAAAGAATTTTAATATGCTTGGGATTAACACCTGGACAGGAGTGCGGTAATAGGAATGAAGAGAGAAAGAAACAGAACTGCAAAGCTGTTTTAACAAAAGGCTTAGCCAATTCCATGGAGACTACGAAAACTGCAGTGGTTCTTAGTTGTCCCCAGACAACACAAGGGAACCAAGCGTTTGATTACCTACATGAGTCTGTAAATATACATGAGCTACACCAAGGAAGAGAGCATAAACCTGGGGGAGGCAAATCCTTTTGGCTGAGAGCACTCCTTGGGGATGGAATTAGTTACAAGCAGTCCCTGACAACTCTTTTGACAGTTGGGGAAATGATCTCTGAAGAAGGTTCTGGGTGATATACCACAGCAGCCACTATAAATAACTTCGTGGAAACTTTTTATTAAAGTGATAATCTTCTAATTTAATATATTTGTACATGTGTCTCCAGGTGCTGAGTTTGTAAAGGATGATAACAGCATGTAAAATCTACTAAAAAGAGATCCATTTTAATTTACAATATAACCCCTCTAGCTATAGAAGAAAAAAGGGCTTCTGCCCTATAATAATGTTCTTTAAAATGTCCTTCTGTTTTCTGGGAGTAAAGAACCAAGAAATAGAGCTCTACCCAAGAAGTCAGTATGAATACTGCAAGAAAAGGGTATGAATCTTGGATTCATTTATCTTAATCAGTATGTTTTCACCCATATTCCCAAACATATAAGCACTTCAAATTGGAAAATTTCACTCCTTTTAGATTAAAAAATATATCTGTACTGAGCATAATTAAGTTTTAAATAGCATAATTGATTTTTTTTCATAAACACCTTTTTCTATTAAAAAAAACATTTTGTAGGATTAACCACTGTAGTCACTAGGCCTTTTAAGTAGACCCTGAGGGCTGAGAAAAGCTGAGTAGGAAGGTGAGAAAAAGGAAAGTACAGGTTTCTCATTCAGAAACTTAAGTTTTCTGAATTGCAACTTAAAAATATGAGTATGTATGGGTTCAGGATTCATGTCTCCTGATATATGGTACATCCTCTACACCACGCTGAAGCCATTTTCACGTGACCTCCTTAATATCATGCAGCCCGATAAATTATCTCTAATAGGTCCTTATGATTTGCTGCCCTCTCAACAGTCCAGAGTCTCTCTAAGGCTGTAAGAAAGAGTTTGTCTTTGTCAGCAACTGTCTTTGCAAGATTTAGTCTAAGCCTCTCATGAAATAAAGATCCATCAATTTCCTGTTCTCATATGTTAACTAGAGAAGTTCATACCCATTATAGAGGTTCAGACAATATCAGACAAAATATCATTCTCTCCATTTTTTATCCATTCTATCTACTTTCTCCATCCCATCCAAATTTCTTCCTCTTCTTCTAGTTTTAAAACGAAAGCTCCCATATATACCAATAAATGCAAAATGATATTGAAGGAGGGGAATGTCCAAGAAACAATAAGCAAAACTGGGGAAGGAAGGCAGAGCTCACTGTCTGTTATGTTCTCTCCAATAACTTTCCGTGTTATTCTCAGACTTCATAGATGTGTACAGCTTTATAAAATCTCAGAACATGATATATCTATCCTTCCGGTAGAAAAGCAAATAGATGAAGATTCTCTCTCTTTAATAGGGGTAACAAGACTAACTTGTTAATAGGGGTAAATTCTCTCTCTTTAACAGGGGTAACAAGTAACTCAGTACTGCCCAGAGAGATAATCAATGCCCTCCAAATATGTGACCTCCCTGTCTCAGACCCCCATGCTGGGCAAGAAGGAAGACACAGGTTACCCAATTCCCTAAAAGTAGGAGTATGATGTAAACATCAATTAAACCAGGGGTCCCCAACCCCCCAGGCCATGGAGGTGAGCAGCGGGCGAGCAAGCAAAGCTTCATCTGTATTTACAGCTGCTCCCCATCACTTGCATTACCGCCTGAGCTCTGCCTCCTATCAGAGGCAGCAGCATTAGATTCTCCTAGGAGCCATGAACCCTATTGTAAACTGTGCATGTGAGGGATCTAGGTTGTATGCTCCTTGTGAGAATCTAATGCCTGAGGATCTGTCACTGTCTCCTGTCACTTCTAGATAGGACCATCTAGTTGCAAGAAAATGATCTAAAGGCTCCCACTGATTCTACATGATGGTGAGTTGTATAATTATTTCATTATATATTACAATGAATTAATAATATAAATAAAGTGCACAATAAACATAATGCACTTGAATCATCCCAAAACCATCCCCCAATCCAGTCCGTGAAAAAACTGTCTTCCAGGAAACCAGTCCCTGGTGGCAAAAAGGTTGGGGACTGCTGAATTAAATGGACCATTTCACCCAAACCCAGGGCAGCAGAGTGAGCCAAGCTCTCTACCACAGTATGGCTAGGGTTGAGGATTCAGGTCAGAGTGCTTTTGAAGGGTAGAAACTCTCTCACGCCTCCCCATAACTAAGAACAAGTGTTCTCTCTGACAGCTCTTTCTGACCCCAGAGGCTGAGGTGGCGGGAGGACCCTGGCCCATGGTGAAGACCAGAGGACCTAACTATTCCAGACTCCCAGTTCCAATTTCCCCATGTGCTATTATCTCACTGTCAGTAAGTTTTAGTGGAGTAGTGGCTAAACACTGATGGGTAAGATATTCGGAAAGCTGAGACTTGAAATCTGTGTTGCAGGTTTAGAGAGATAATTCTCAGATAAGGAACATTCAGCAAACTGCATTGGGAAAGAGCTAAATATTAGAAATGACATTCAATGACATTATGAACTGTTCAACTACAAATACAAGAAAAGAACATTTCATTTCTTCATTTAAAGCTGTAAGAAGAGAAAAAAGTTTGGATGAGGATGGAGGCAAGGTAGGTCAAATAAAGAATATAAATCATTAATTTATAACAAGAGACCTGGTAAGGACCACAGTCAGAAAAACTGCTCTTTTGCCAAAGCCTCAGAAAACTTAGTTTGATTCAGCTTCAGTTAGATGCTGCTGTTCGGACTAACATTTCCTTGGTTGACTAAGCTGCAGTAACAAAGCACATCAGATCTGCCAGACTTTGCTTAATACCAATTGGGTAGCAACTTAACAACTTCCCAAGGTCACACATAAGCAAGAGGGGTCTTCTTGGACACCCAGCATTTTGGGAAACCCTGTACCCAAGAGGATAATTACACTGAAAAACGGCAAGATCTTCAAGGTAAGCCACTGCTTAGACTAGTCTGGAACAAGAACAGCATGAAACAAACATAAGAGTACCCATAACTATTACGATCAGTGGAATATGGATAAACCAGTTTCCCGGGTGAAAGGGTATACAGGACCTCTAATTTGTAGCATTGCCAACATCCATTGTGTGAATACCTACACTAGGGCCAACTTCAAGCTACCAATGTTTTAACAACTGACATGCAAAATTCCTGAACATTTAACATTTGTTCCTCGGGGGCTACACAAGCCAGTTCTGGCATGCCACAATTTCAATGACAATAAAAGAAACAGGACGCATACACCCTTACCTTGGCCACAGCAGACTTAGAATAGTCACCTCTTCTTTAATAGAGTATTAGAAATAAAATAGAAAAACTATACTATAGAGTTTGTGCAGGTTACATTTATATGTTAGTGCTTATTAAGTAAACTCTATGTATCATATCTTCTGTAGTCTCAGTACATGGTATAAATTCATTTTATTTTACCTCCTTGCCATCTTTATAAAGTTATGAAATAAAAATCTTCTATACTTATAGGAATAGGCCCATGGCTATGTATGGACTAAGTAGACCTTTACTGGTCATTGCCATCCAACTTCTTACACTAAAATGAAGAAGTGAAAAATCTTTCAAAATTGATTAAAAAACTCCTGGTCTGGGTATAACATACAGTAAATTTTCAAACAGTATTTTCTTTTTTTTTTTTAATTATACTTTTAAGTTCTGGGGTACATGTGCAGAACGTGCAGTTTTGTTACAAAGGTATACAGATGCCATGGTGGTTTGTTGCACCCATCAACCCATCACCTACATTAGGTATATCTCCTAATGTTATCCCTCCCCTAGCCCCCTATGCCCCGACAGGCCCTGGTGTGTGATGTTCCCCTCCCTATGTCGATGTGTTCAACTCCCACTTATAAATGAGAACATGTGGTGTTTCTTTTTCTGTTCCTGTGTTAGTTTGCTGAGAATGATGGTTTCCAACTTCATCCATGTCCCTGCAAAGGACATGAACTCATCCTTTTTTATGGCTGCATAGTATTCCATAGTATATATGTGCCACATTTTCTTTATCCAGTCTATTATTGATGGACATTTGGGTTGGTTCCAAGTCTTTGCTATTGTGAATAGTGCTGCAATAAACATATTTGTGCAGGTGTCTTTATAGTAGAATGATTTATAATCCTTTGGGTATATACGCAGTAATGGGATTGCTGGGTCAAATCTGTTCTACTTACAGATCCTTGAGGAATCACCACACTGTCTTCCACAATGGTTGAACTAATTTACACTCTCACCAACAGTGTAAAAGCGTTCCTATTTTTCCACAACCTCTCCAGCATCTGTTGTTTCCTGACTTTTAATGATTGCCATTCTAACTGGCATGAGATGATATCTCATTGTGGTTTTGATTTGCATTTCTCTGATGACCAGTGATGAGGAGCATTTTTTCACACGTCTGTTGGCTGCATAAATGTCTTCTTTTGAAGACATTTTTTCACGTCTGTTGGCCGCATGTCTTCTTTTGAGAAGTGTCTGTTCAAATCCTTTGCCCACTTTTTATGGGGTTATAAATTTGTTTAAGTTCTTGTAGATTTGTAAATTTGTTTAAGTTTACTTAAATTTGTTTAAGTTCTTGTAGATTCTTGTAAATTTGTTTAAGTTCTTATAATTTTGTTTAAGTTCTTGTAGATTCTGGATATTAGCCCTTTGTCAGATGGATAGATTGCAAAAATTTTCTCCCATTCTGTAGGTTGCCTGTTCACTCTGATGATGGTTTCTTTTGCTGTGCAGAAGCTCTTTAGTTTAATTAGATCCCGTTCGTCAATTTTGGCTTTTGTTGCCATTGCTTTTGGTGTTTTAGACATGAAGTCTTTGCCCATGCCTATGTCCTGAATGGTATTGCCTGTGCTTTCTTCTAGGATTTTTATGGTACTAGGTCTTACATTTAAGTATTTGATCCATCTTGAGTTGATTTTTATATAAGGTGTAAGGAGGGGGTCCAGTTTCAGTTTTCTGCATATGGCTAGCCAGGTTTCCCAACATCATTTATTAGATAGGGAATCTTTTCCCCATTGCTTGTTTGTGTCGAGTTTGTCAAAGATCAGATTGTTGTAGATGTGTACTGTTATTTCTGAGGCCTCTGTTCTCTTCTATTGGTCTATATATCTGTTTTGGTACAAGTACCATGCTGTTTTGGTTAGTGTAGCCTCGTAGTATAATTTGAAGTCAGGTAGTGTGATGCCTCAATTCTTCTTGCCCAGGAATGTCTTGGTTATGCGGGCTCTTTTTTGGTTCCACATGAAGTTTAAAGTAATCAAACAGGATTTTCTACTTGTGTAATCTTATTCTGAAAACATATGTTTGTTAATGAATGTATAGAAGTGTATTAATATGTCTAAACTTATATATAAATAATGTGAATTGCTTACAGTTTAAGTACCTTTGGTTTCATTAGAATGTCAGTCCATATGATCCTAAAAGAGTGAAACCATAAATAACATATATGCTTTAGAAAAAAAAGACCAGAAATAGCAACAAAGTTTCCCTTCAAAACTAACAGGCCTATAGTATCTAAAATAGACCCCCAAATTCCTAATTTCATGGGAACTACAAAGAAACAGGGCTACAAGTATCAGTCGTATTTAAAGCTTCAAAGTGGTTATTGCTGTTGTTATTGAGGTGTTGGGTATGTTAATTAGCTTAATTTAATTATTTCACACTGTTTTCATAAATGTTAACATCACTTTCTACCACAAAAATATACAACTATAAATTTTCAGTTTACAATAAAATTTTAAAAATTAAGAAGACTCTGCTATTAGTTTCATTTTAGAATTGATTTAACAAATACTTTGCATAAGGCATTTTTCCAGGTGCTTTGGAGGACACAAAGGTGGTCCTTGTTCTTTAGAAATTTCACATTCTAGAGGGACAGAGAGATGTGCACAAAACAACATGGTGAAAATTCATTTTGTGTTACCTTCTTGCCATCTTTATAAAGTCCTGAATTAAAGAACTTCTATAGTTACAGGAATAGGCCCACAATTTACGATAACTGTTATCACAGAGGCAGAAAGTCCCCTAGTCACCTCGAGGATGGACGAGGGAAGGACTCATTCTAATTGTGAGATCTAGTAAAACATGTGGGGATTATGAACATGTAGTACATCTAAGATTTCAACTGTCAAAGACAGATGGAATAAGCTCCCAAATTTTGAAGCAGTAGCAAAAATTTTAAAAAAGAGTTTCAGAGGAGAGCTTTTACAGGGTGCGTTAGAGATAAAATGAGAAAGTATGATGCGACAAAACATTGTATTAGGTGAGGTAGACGGTATAAAAGATGCACTTAAAAAATTATAACAAGGCCCAATAATGGACAGTCTTAAATTCCATGATCAAAAATTTGGGATTTTTAAAACACATGTTGAGAAGCTTATTAACATTATCTGAGCTCATGGCTGTGAAAACAGATTTGTATGGGGGACCACAGCCCTGGAAGAGATTTTTTTTTTTTTTTAAAGTCTGAACTAGAATTATTGTGTGAAATTTAGAACTGTTATTTGTAAGGGATCAAAAAAATTAAAAGAAGTTAGATTGGGGTTTATTCAAAAAAATAGAATTTATTTTATCATATAACTAAAAATCAAGAAGCTGCTTAATTCTGTAGGCTCAAAAGATATCACTTCAATCCAATTTATCTTCCTATTTCTATACTACTCAATGTCCGCTTTATTCTTAACCTCCATATAATTACAAGATGTCAGCAATAGGTCCAGGCATACATTATACCAGATTTATGACCTATAAAATGTTGAATAAGATGTCTCAATCTTTTCTCAAGAAACTGACAAGCCTATTCCAAAATTCACACAGAAAGAAAAAGAACTTGGCAAAATAAAAATTGTTTAAGTAAAAGGAAAGCTGAATAACTTATACTGCTATAATCAAGCTAGTTTAATAGATCTAGAGATCAGCGGTATAGAATAAAATCAATAAATAGACTGTTACTTATATGGTCAAGTTGCCAAAAGAATTCAATGGAGGAAAGAACAGTCTTTCAACAAATGGAGATGGAACACCCAAATGTCTATGTGGGAAAAAAACAAGCCTCATATGTTATCTCATACTATATGCATAAATCACTTCAAAATATACTCTGTATCCTAATGAAAAAGCTAAAACAATAAAATGTTTGGAAAAACAAGAAAAAAAATTTGTAACATTGAAGTAGGCAATAATTTTTTAAATAGAACACAAAGAGCGTAAGCTATATAAAGAAAAGATTGTAATTATACTTTATCAAAATTAAAAGCCTTTGCTCTTTGAAAAACACAGTTAAGAAAACAAACTACGGACTATGGGAAACTGTTTGCAAAGCATACCTAGAAAGGGACATGTATCCAGGATATATAAAGAACTCCTGGGGATGGGGCCAAGATGGCCAACTAGAAACAGCGGATATCAGAGGCTGTCATCGAAAAGAACCGTTAATTAGCATGTGAATCCTTCATTGGCAACCATGGTATCATCCAGATTCTCTCATCAGAACTGACTAGGTGACTGATGTGATCCACAGAGAGCAAGAAAGAGCAGTGTGGTGCACCACCCACCTGAGAGCCACATAGAGAAGGGGAGCCCCCGACCCCTAGCCAAGGGAGGCAGTGAGTGAGTGTGCTATCCAGCTGGGGAAACCGTGCTTTTTCTACAGAACCATGCAACCCACAGATGGCAAAATCCCACTGGCAAACCCATGCCACTGGGGCCTAGGTTCCCAACCCCAGAGCTGTGCAGATTCTCAACAGCCTGTCAGCTGAAATCTGCATAAGCCTGCGAGCTCCCCAGGAGGAGAGGCGACCAGCACCACAACTGTGGCTGCCTGCTGCCTAAGCCTTTTGAGCTCCTTGGAGGAGGGGCATCAGCCAGTACTGGGACTCATAACTGCCTAACACACTAAGCTCCCGGGGCGAGGGAAGGGCAGCATCCATCTCTATAGCTCCAAGCCACGTTTTTCCCCTGCTAGAGCCAGGGAAGCTGGATGGCTTGGTCCCCAAGAGATGTCCCCCAGAGTCCAACATACCAGTTGCGGCAGACTGCAGCCAGAGGGCCTCTTCAGGGCTGACCCTGACACATCCTTCCTCACTGGGAGGGGCTTCCCTGCAAGAACTCCAACAACTCCACCCAGAGGCTCAGGGACGGAACCCGGATCTCCCTGGGCCTGAGCCCCTGGGTGGGAGGTGGCCACAGTCTCTGCAGACCAGCAGACTTAGCCTTTCTTCCTGGTAGTTCTGAAGAATCCAAGCAGCCCAGATGAGTGGGTTTCCCCAGCGAAGCACACCCCCTCCACCAAGGGACAGTAAAAGTGCTTCATTAAATGGGTCCTGTTCCCTGTGCCACTCAACTTGGTGAGACCCTCCAACAGGGGTTGTCAGACACCCTATACAGGAGCGATCCTACTGGCATCAGGTGTGTGCCCATCAAGGTTAGAGATCCCAGAAGAATGAGCAGGCAACCATCTTTGCTGTTCTCCAGCCTTGCTGAGTGACATCTCCAGGTGCGGGAGCAAACCAGATGAATAGTGCCTAAAGTGAACCCCCAGCAAACTGCAGCAGCCCTACAGAAGAGGGACCTGACCATGGAAAGAAAAACAAACACAAAGCAACGACGACAGCATCAACAACAAAAAAGTCCCTACAAAAACCCCATCCAAGGGTCAGCAGCCTCAAAGATTGAAACTAGACAAACTCATGAAGATGAGAAATAATCAACAAAAAAATGCTGAAAATCCAAAAGGCCAGAGTGCCTTTTCTCCTCCAAATGATCACAATATGTCTCTAGCAAGGGCACAGAACTGGACGGAGGATGAGATGGATGAATTGACAGAAGTAGGCTTCAGAAGATGGGTAATTAAAAACTCCACTGAGCTAAAGGAGCATGTTCTAATCCAATGCAAAGAAGCTAAGAACCTTGATAAAAGGTTAGAGGAGCTGCTAACTAGAATAACCAGTTTAGAGAGGACCATAAATGAACTGATGGAGCTGAAAAACACAGTACAAGAACTTCATGTATCAATAGACAAATCAACCAAGTGGAAGAAAGGATATCAGAGTTTGAAGACCACCTTGCTGAAATAAGGCATGCAGATAAGATTAGAAAAAATAATAATAATAATAAAAAGGAACAAACAAAGCCTCCAAGAAATATGGGACTTTATACAAAGACTGAACCTATGACTGATTGGAGTACCTGAAAGAGAGAGGGAGCTGGAAAACACACTTCAGGATATTATGCCGGAGAAGTTCCCCAACCTAGCAAGACAGGCCAACATGCAAATTCAGGAAAGAAGGAGAACACCACTAAGATACTCCACAAGAAAATCAATTCCAAGACACATATCATCAGATTCTCCAAGGTCAAAAGGAAAGAAAAATGTTCAGGGCAACCATAGAGAAAGGTCAGATCACCAACAAAGGGAAGCCCATCAGACTAACAGTGGACCTCTCAGCAGAAACTCTACAAGCCAGAAAAGACTGGGGGCCAATATTCAACATTCTTAAAGAAAAGAATTTTCAACCCAGAATTTTATATCCAGCCAAACTAAGCTTCATAAGTGAAGGAGAAATAAAATCCTTTTCGGACAAGCAAATGCTGAGGGATTTCATTACCAACAGGCCTGCCTTGCAAGAGCTCCTGAAAGAAGCACTAAATATGGAAAAGAAAAACTGGTACCAGCCACTGCAAAAAACACACCAAAGTATAAAGGCCAATGACACTATGAAGAAACTGTAGCAACTAGTGTGCAAAATAATCAGATAGCATCATGATTACAGGTTCAAATTCACATATAACAATACTAACCTTAAATGTAAATGGACTAAATGCTCCAATTAAAAGACACAGACTGGCTAATTGGATAGTCAAGAGCCATCGGTGGGCTGTATTTGGGAGACCCATCTCATGTGTAAACACACACCTAAGCTCAAAATAAAGGGATGGAAGAAAATTTACCAAGCAAATGGAAAACCAAAAAAAGCAGGAGTTGCAATCCTAGTCTCTGAGAAAACAAACTTTAAATGAACAAAGATCAGAAAAGACAAAGAAGGGCATTACATAATGGTAAAGGGAATGATTCAACAAGAAGAGCTAACTATTCTAAATATATATGCACCCAATGCAGGGGCACCCAGATTCATAAAACAAGTTCTTAGAGACCTACAAAGATACTTAGATGCCCACACAAGAATAGTGGGAGATTTTAACACCCCACTGTCAATATTAGATAGACCAACGAGACAGAAAATTAACAAGGACATTCAGGACTTGAACTCAGCTCTGGATCCAGTGGACTTAATAGACATCTACAGAACTCTCCATCTCAAATCAATAGAATATGCATTCTTCTCAGTGCCACATGGCATTTATTCTAAAATCAACCATATAATTGGAAGTAAAACACTCCTCAGCAAAGGCAAAAGAACTGAAATCATAACAAACAGTCTCAGACCACAGTGCAATCAAATTGGAACTCAGGATTAAGAAACTCACTCACACACTTACATGGACATTGAACAACCTGCTCCTGAATGAATCCTGGGTAAATAATGAAATTAAAGCAGAAATCAAGAAGTTCTTTGAAACCAATGAGAACAAAGAGACAACATCTCAGAATCTCTGGGACACAGATAAAGCAGTGTTAACAGGGAAATTTATAGCACTAAATGCCCGTTTCAGAAAGCTAGAAAGATCTCGAATCAACACCCTAACATCACAATTAAAAGAGCTAGAGAGGCAGGAGCAAATTAATCCGAAAGCTAGCTGAAGACAAGAAATAACTAAGATCAGAACAGAACTGAAGGAGCTAGAGAAGTGAAAAACCCTTCAAAACAATCAATGAATCCAGGAGCTGGTTTTCTGAAAAAATTAACAAAATAGATAGACCACCAGAATAATAAAGAAGAAGAGAGAGAAAAATCAAATAGACGCAATAAAAAATGATAAAGGGGATATCACCACTAACCCCACAGAAATACAAACTACCATCAGAAAATATTATAAACACCTTGACACAAATGAACTGTGATAGAATATCCAGAAGTAATGGATAATTTCCTGGACATATACACCCTCCCAAGACTAAGCCAGGAAGAAGTTGAATCCCAGAATAGACCAATAACAAGTTGTGAAATTGAGACAGTAATTACTACCAACCAAAAAAAATTCCAGTACCAGACAGATTCAAAGCCGAATTCTACCAGAGGTACAAAGAGGAGCTGGTACCATTCCTTCTGAAACTATTCCAAACAACTGAAAAGGAGAGACTCCTCCCTAACTGATTTTATGAAGCCAGCATCATCCTGATACCAAAACCTGGAAGAGACACCACCACAACAACAACGAAAAAAACTTCAGGCCAACATATAAACAGAACCAAAGGCAAAAACCACATGATTATCTCAATAGATGCAGAAAAGGTCTTTGCAATTCTTTGATATCCACTTTATCATTTTTTATTGCGTACCCATGTGACAAAGGTCTAATATCCAGAATCTACAAAGAACTTAAACAAATTTATAAGAAAACAGCAAACAACCACGTCAAAAAGTCGGCAAAGTATATGAACAGGCACTTCTCAAAAGATGACATTTATGTGGCCAACAAACACGAAAAAAAGCTCAACATCACTAATCATTAGAGAAATGCAAACCATCAGGAGGGGGAGGAGCCAAGATGGCCGAATAGGAACAGCCCCGGTCTACAGCTTCTAGCGTGAAGGATGCAGAAGATGGGTGATTTCTGCATTTCCATCTGAGGTACCGGGTTCATCTCACTAGGGAGTGCCAGACAATGGGCGCAGGACAGTGGGGGCAGCGCATCGTGCGCGAGCCAAAGCAGGGCGAGGCATTGCCTCACTCAGGAAGCGCAAGGGGTCAGGGAGTTCCCTTTCCCAGTCAAGGAAAGGGGTGACAGACAGCACCTGGAAAATCAGGTCACTCCCACACAAATACTGCGCTTTTCCGATGGGCTTAGGAAATGGCGCACCAGGAAATTATATCCCGCACCTGGCTTAGAGGGTCCTACGCCCACGGAGTCTCAATGATTGCTAGCACAGCAGTCTGAGATCAAACTGCAAGGCGGCAGCAAGGCTGGGGGAGGGGCGCCCGCCATTGCCCAGGCTTGCTTAGGTAAACAAAGAAGCCGGGAAGCTCGAACTGGGTGGAGCCTACCACAGCTCAAGGAGGACTGCCTGCCTCTGTAGGCTCCACCTCTGGGGGCAGGGCACAGACAAACAAAAAGACAGCAGTAACCTCTGCAGACTTAAATGTCCCTGTCTGACAGCTTTGAAGAGAGCAATGGTTCTCCCAGCATTCAGCTGGAGATCTGAGGACAGGCAGACTGTCTCCTCAAGTGGGTCCCTGACGCTTGACCCCTGAGCAGCCTAACTGGGAGGCACGCTCCAGTAGGGGCAGACTGACACCTCACACAGCGGGGTACTCCTCTGAGACAAAACTTCCAGAGGAACCATCAGACAGCAGCATTCCCGGTTCACGAAAATCCACAGTTCTGCAGACACCACCGCTGATACCCAGGCAAACAGGGTCTGGAGTGGACCTCTAGCAAACTCCAACAGACCTGCAGCTGAGGGTCCTGTCTGTTAGAAGGAAAACTAACAAACAGAAAGGACATCCACACCAAAAACCCATCTGTACATCACCATCATCAAAGACCAAAAGTAGATAAAACCACAAAGATGGGGAAAAAACAGAGCAGAACAACTGGAAACTCTAAAAAGCAGAGCACCTCTCCTCCTCCAAAGGAATGCAGTTCCTCACCAGCAACGGAACAAAGCTGGATGGAGAATGACTTTGACGACTTGACAGAAGAAGGCTTCAGACGATCAAACTACACCGAGCTACAGGAGGAAATTCAAACCAAAGGAAAAGAAGTTGAAAACTTTGAAAAAAATTAAGACGAATGTATAACTAGAATAACAAATACAGAGAAGTGCTTAAAGGAGCTGATGGAGCTGAAAGCCAAGGCTCAAGAACTACGTGAAGAATGCAGAAGCCTCAGGAGCCGATGCGATCAACTGGAGGAAAGGGTATCAGTGATGGAAGATGAAATGAATGAAATGAAGCGAGAAGGGAAGTTTAGAGAAAAAAGAATAAAAAGAAATGAACAAAGCCTCCAAGAAATATGGGACTATATGAAAAGACCAAATCTGTGTCTGATTGGTGTACCTGAAAGTGACAGAGAAAATGGAACCAAGTTGGAAAACACTCTGCAGGATATTATCCAGGAGAACTTCCCCAATCTAGCAAGGCAGGCAAACATTCAAATTCAGGAAATACAGAGAAGGCCACAAAGATACTCCTTGAGAAGAGCAACTCCAAGACACATAATTGTCAGATTCACCAAAGTTGAAATGAAGGAAAAAATGTTAAGGGCAGCCAGAGAGAAAGGTCGGGTTACCCACAAAGGGAAGCCCATCAGACTAACAGCGGATCTCTTGGCAGAAACTCTACAAGCCAGAAGAGTGGGGGCCAATATTCAACATTCTCAAAGAAAAGAATTTTCAACCCAGAATTTCATATCCAGCCAAACTAAGCTTCATAAGTGAAGGAGAAATAAAATACTTTACATAAAAGCAAATACTGAGAGATTTTGTCACCACCAGGCCTGCCCTAAAAGAGCTCCTGAAGGAAGTACTAAACATGGAAAGGAACAACCAGTACCAGCCGCTGCAAAATCATGCCAAAATGTAAAGACCATCGAGACTAGGAAGAAAATGCATCAACTAACGAGCAAAATCACCAGCTAACATCATAATGACAGGATCAAATTCACACATAACAATATTAACTTTAAATGTCAATGGACTAAATGCTCCAATTAAAAGACACAGACTGGCAAATTGGCTAAAGAGTCAAGACCCATCAGTGTGCTGTATTCAGGAAACCCATCTCACGTGCAGAGACACACATAGGCTCAAAATAAAAGGATGGAGGAAGAGCTACCAAGCAAATGGAAAACAAAAAAAGGCAGAGGTTGCAATCCTAGTCTCTGATAAAACAGACTTTAAACCAACAAAGATCAAAAGAGACAAAGAAGGCCATTACATAATGGTAAAGGGATCAATTCAACAAGAAGAGTTAACTATCCTAAATATATATGCACCCAACACAGGAGCACCCAGATTCATAAAGCAAGTCCTTAGAGACCTACAAAGAGACTTCGACTCCCACACAATAATAATGGGAGACTTTCACACCCCACTGTCAACATTAGACAGATCAACGAGACAGAAAGTTAACAAGGATACCCAGGAATTGAACTCAGCTCTGCACCAAGCGGACCTAATAGACATCTACAGAACTCTCCACCCCAAATCAACAGAATATACATTTTTTTAAGCACCACACCACACCTATTCCAAAATTGACCACATACTTGGAAGTAAAGCTCTCCTCAGCAAATATAAAAGAACAGAAATTATAACAAACTGTCTCTCAGACCACAGTGCAATCAAACTAGAACTCAGGATTAAGAAACTCACTCAATACCACTCAACTACATGGAAACTGAACAACCTGCTCCTGAATGACTACTGGGTACATAAAGAAATGAAGGCAGAAATAAAGATGTTCTTTGAAACCAGCGAGAACAAAGACACAACATACCAGAATCTCTGGGACACATTCAAAGCAGTGTGTAGAGGGAAATTTATAGCACTAGGTGCCCACAAGAGAAAGCAGGGAAGATCCAAAATTGACACCCTAACATCACAATTAAAAGAACTAGAAAAGCAAGAGCAAACACATTCAAAAGCTAGCAGAAGGCAAGAAATAACTAAAATCAGAGCAGAACTGAAGGAAATAGAGACACAAAAAACCCTTCAAAAAATTAATGAATCCAGGAGCTGGTTTTTTGAAAGGATCAACAAAATTGATAGACCACTAGGAAGACTAATAAAGAAAAAAAGAGAGAAGAATCAAATAGATGCAATAAAAATTGATAAAGGGGATATCACCACCGATCCCACAGAAATACAGACTACCATCAGAGAATACTACAAACACCTCTGCGCAAATAAACTAGAAAATCTAGAAGAAATGGATAAATTCCTCGACACATACACTCTCCCAAGACTAAACCAGGAAGAAGTTGATCTCTCAATAGACCAATAACAGGATCTGAAATTGTGGCAATAATCAATAGCTTAACAACCAAAAAGAGTCCAGGACCAGATGGCTTCACAGCCGAATTCTACCAGAGGTACAAGGAGGAACTGGTACCATTTCTTCTGAAACTATTCCAATCAATAGAAAAAGAGGGAATCCTCCCTAACTCATTTTATGAGGCCAGCATCATTCTGATACCAAAGCCAGGCAGAGACACAACCAAAAAAGAGAATTTTAGACCAATATCCTTGATGAACATTGATGCAAAAATCCTCAGTAAAATACTGGCAAACCAAATCCAGCAGCACATCAAAAAGCTTATCCACCATGATCATGTGGGCTTCATCCCTGGGATGCAAGGCTGGTTCAATGTATGCAAATCAATAAGTGTAATCCAGCTTATAAACAGAACCAAAGACAAAAACCACATGATTATCTCAATAGATGCAGAAAAGGCCTTTGACAAAATTCAACAACTCTTCATGCTAAAAACTCTCAATAAATTAGATATTGATGGGACATATCTCAAAATAATAAGAGCTATCTATGACAAACCCACAGCCAATATCATACTAAATGGGCAAAAACTGGAAGCATTCCCTTTGAAAACAGGCACAAGACAGGGATGCCCTCTCTCACCACTCCTATTCAACATAGTGTTGGAAGTTCTGGCCAGGGCAATTAGGCAGGAGAAGGAAATGAAGGGTATTCAATTAGGAAAAGAGGAAGTCAAATTGTCCCTGTTTGCAGATGACATGATTGTATATCTAGAAAACTCCATTGTCTCAGCCCAAAGTCTCCTTAAGCTGATAAGCAACTTCAGCAAAGTCACAGGATACAAAATCAATGTACAAAAATCACAAGCATTCTTATACACCAGTAACAGACAAACAGAGAGCCACATCATGAGTGAACTCCCATTCACAATTGCTTCAAAGAGAATAAAATACTTAGGAATCCAACTTACAAGAGACGTGAAGGACCTCTTCAAGGAGAACTACAAACCACTGCTCAATGAAATAAAAGAGGATACAAAGAATTGGAAGAACATTCCATGCTCATGGGTAGGAAGAATCAATATCGTGAAAATGGCCATACTGCCCAAGGCAATTTATAGATTCAATGCCATCCCCATCAAGCTACCAATGACTTTCTTCACAGAATTGGAAAAAACTACTTTAAAGTTCATATGGAACCAAAAAAGAGCCTGCATCGCCAAGTCAATCCTAAGCCAAAAGAACAAAGCTGGAGGCATCACACTACCTGACTTCAAACTATACTACAAGGCTACAGGAACCAAAACAGCATGGAACTCGTACCAAAACAGAGATATAGATCAATGGAGCAGAACAGAGACCTCAGAAATAACGCCGCATATCTACAACTATCTGATCTTTGACAAACCTGAGAAAAACAAGCAATGGGGAAATGATTCCCTATTTAATAAATGGTGCTGGGAAAACTGGCTAGCCATATGTAGAAAGCTGAAACTGGATCCCTTCCTTACACCTTATATAAAAATTAATTCAAGATGGATTAAAGACTTAAACATTAGACCTGAAACCATAAAAACCCTAGAAGAAAACTTAGGCATTACCATTCAGGACATAGGCACGGGCAAGGACTTCATGTCTAAAACACCAAAAGCAATGGCAACAAAAGCCAAAATTGACAAATGGGATCTAATTAAACTCAAGAGCTTCTGCACAGCAAAAGAAACTACCATCAGAGTGAACAGGAAACCTACAAAATGGGAGAAAATTTTCACAACCTACTCATCTGACAAAGGGCTAATATCCAGAATCTACAATGAACTCAAACAAATTTACAAGAAAAAAACAAACCACCCCATCAAAAAGTGGGCAAAGGATATGAACAGACACTTCTCAAAAGAAGACATTTATGCAGCCAAAAGACACATGAAAAAATGCTCATCATCACTGGCCATCAGAGAAATGCAAATCAAAACCACAATGAGATACCATGTCACACCAGTTAGAATGGCAATCATTAAAAAGTCAGGAAACAACAGGTGCTGGAGAGCATGTGGAGAAATAGCAACACTTTTACGCTGCTGGTGGGACTATAAACTAGTTCAACCATTGTGGAAGTCAGTGTGGCGATTCCTCAGGCATCTAGAACTAGAAATACCATTTGACCCAGCCATCCCATTACTGGGTATATACCCAAAGGACTATAAATCATGCTGCTATAAAGACACATGCACACGTATGTTTATTGCGGCTCTATTCACAATAGCAAAGACTTGGAACCAACCCAAATGTCCAACAATGATAGAGTGGATTAAGAAAATGTGGCACATATACACCATGGAATACTATGCAGCCATAAAAAATGATGAGTTCATGTCCTCTGTAGGGACATGGATGAAATTGGAAATCATCATTCTCAGTAAACTATCGCAAGGACAAAAAACCAAACACCGCATGTTCTCACTCATAGGTGGGAATTGAACAATGAGAACACATGGACACAGGAAGGGGAACATCACACTCTGGGGACTGTTGTGGGTGGGGGGAGGGGAGAGGGATAGCATTAGGAGATATACCTAATGCTAAATGACGAGTTAATGGGTGCAGCACACCAGCATGGCACATGTATACATATGTAACTAACCTGCACATTGTGCACATGTACCCAAAAACTTAAAGTATAATAATAATTAAAAAAAAAAAAAGAAATGCAAATCAAACCCCAACGAGATACTCTCTCATGCCAGTCAGAATGGCAATTATTAAAAAGTCAAGAAAAAATAGATGCTGGCAAGGCTGTGGAGAAATAGGAATGCTTTCACGCTGTTGGTGGGAATGTAAATTAATTCAAACATTGTGGAAGACAGTAAGGCAATTCCTCAATAATCTAGAACCAGAAATACCATTTGACCCAGCAATCCCCTCATTGAGTATATAGACAAAGGAATATAAATATATTATAAATCATTCTACTATAAAGACACATGCACACGCATGTTTATTGCAACACTATTTACAATAGCAAAATCATGGAACCAATCCAAATGCCCATCAATGATAGACTGGATAAAGAAAATCTGGTACATATACACATGGAATCCTATGCAGCCATAAAAAGGAATGAAATCGTGTCCTTTGCAGGGACATGGATGAAGCTGGAAGCCATCATCCTCAGCGAACTAACAGAGGAACAGAAAACCACACACCCCATGTTCTCATTCATAAGCAGGAGTTGAACAATGAGAACACATGGACACAGGGAGAGGAACAATACACAGTAGGGCCTGTTGAGGGATGGGGGGCCAGGGGAGGGAACTTGACAGATGGGTCAATAGGTGCAGCAGACCACCACGGCACTGTATACCTATGTATCAAACCTGCATGTTCTGCACATGTATCCCCGAGCTTAAAGTAAAATTAAAAAAAAAAAAGCAAATTAAAAGCAACTGTTTTTCACAAACACGTATTAAAATTAAGAAAAACTATGAATAAAGCTACAGACAAAGTAGATTACTGAAGTAAATATACATTAGTACAAACTTTCTGAAATGCAAAAAAACAAAAAAAGGGACTCCTATTGCTAGTTCAAGACCAGCCTGGGCAACATAGTGAGACCCCATCTTTAAAAAATAAATAAATAAATAACATTAGCCAGGGGTAATGGCACATGCCTGTAGCCTCATCTCTCCAGGAGGCTGAGGTATAAGGATGGCATGTACTCAGGAGTTCAAGTTTGCAGTGAGCTATGATAGCAACACTGCACTCCAGCTTGGGTAACACAATGTGACTCTGCCTCTAGAAAAAAATATATATATTATTCACAAATAATAGAACAAACAACCAATTTAAAAGTGGCAAAAGATATTAAAAGATGCTTGACCAATGAATATACCCAGATGGCCAACAAACATGAGAAAAGATGCTTAACACTACTAGCCATCAAGGGTATACAAAGTAAATCCCCAATAAGATATCACTATATAGCCACAAGAATGATTAAATATAAAAGACCAACAATGCCAACTGCTAGACAGAATGTGGAGCAATTGGAACTCTCATACATTGTTGGTGAAAACAGAATAGTACAGCCACTCTGGAAAACAGTTTGCCAATGTCTTGTAAACATATACTTATATCCCTTAGCAAGCAAGTTAATTATTTACCCAAGAGGAAAGAGAACTTATGTTCTCATGAAGACTTGTAAGCAAATGTCTGTAGCAGAACTGTTTATAAAAACAAAACCTAGGAAGAACTCATAGGATCATTAACTAACGAATAAATAAACCAGATATCCAATATATGTGCAATAAATTTGAACCATGGGATCTTATTCAGTAATACAACATACTACTGATACACACAAAAAGAAACCTGAAGTGCTTTATGTTAAATGGAAAAAGCCAAACACGAAAGACTACATACTGTATGGTTCTTTTTGTGTCTAATTCTAGTAAAGGCAAAATCAAAGTGAAAGAAAAGAAACGAGAGGTCAGGACTGAAGACTGCCAAGGGGATGAAGGAACATTTAGGGATGAAAAATATTCCTTATTTTGAACTTAAAATGAGGGAATTTTTGTGTGTGTATTTAGGTTTCACTTCAATACATGCGGAAAAAAATTATTCCTGAGCCTTTCCTTCCCTTTCCCTTGTTCTTTTTCTCCTCTTTTCCCAAAATTTTAGTCCTGGGAAACTGAAAAGTGGTATTAGACTTGAATTGATGGTTCGGTATCAATACATAATTTTCGATGTGTGTGTTTATGTATATTCTCTTCTTCTGTCTTCTGACAGAACATAAAAGCAGTGGCACTTCAATAGCAATGAACACACTTAACATCCAGATGTTGGTTTCTGATTATCATTCTGCACCAAAATTAGCTAGACCTCCCTTGAGGAAATGGCTTATTCCAAAGCACAGCTAGAAAACAGAAGTTCTCAATGCATGGCAGGTCCTGTCAAACGAACACAGAAGTTAGTTTAAAGGGATTTTCACTGTCTATAACAGAGATAATGTGAGTATAAAATAAATGATAGTAAGAGGATATAACCCACTGAATAAAATAGGAAGTCTTTATAATATATCCATATTGATATAAAGAAATTAGTAAATCAAAAATTTGATGAGGAATGGGATATTTGTATAGTCTCAACATACTTCCGCACAGAATGCTCAGTAGGTGTAAAGTACGGAAGCTTAGTAGACACTACTTTAATTAAGTGATCAAAGTGAATATTATCAGAAATGTGACAAATTAAAATTTGTTGGCCTCCTGATAAGCTGTAAAGTGAAGTACATCACATATTGAGGATATATTAGACGAGGACTGAATGCAATGCATGATTTAAAATTTATTATTTTGCTGTAAGTGTCATATTGCATGGGACCACTGGCAAAACTTGAATGGGTACTGAAGATTAGGTGGTATAGTAGGCAGAAGGTGGTCCTCAAATTATTTACACATCGTAATCCCCAGAACCTAGAATGTTACTTTACATGGTATAAGAAACTTTGCAGATGTGATTAAATTACAGATGTTGAGATAGACAGAATAGCCTGGAGTAACTGGGTGAACTAAATGTAATCATAAAAATGTTTATAATAAAAAGAGAGAGAATTACAGTCAAACATTTGAAGATGCTAAGCTACTGGCTTTGAAGACTGAAGGAGGAGGCTGTGAACCAAGAAATGAAGACAGACTCTAGAAGCTGGAAAAACAAAAACAAAAACAAAAAAAACATTTTTTTTTCCTAGATCATCTAGAAAGAATGCTGCCCTGCCTGCCAATATCTTGATTTTAGCCTAGTGAGAGTTATTTGGATTTCGATTTACAAAACCATAACAAAATAAATGTGTGTAATTTGTGCAGAAACAATCAGGAAATTAATACAATGGTATTAGTACATTGATGTTAACCTCCTAATTTTGATAGTTGTATTGTTGCTATATAGGAGAATGTTGTTTTTAGGAATTACTATAAATTTACAGAATGATGGAGCATTCAGCCAACAACTTACTCTCAAGTGGTTCACAAGTAAAAAAATATATTTGAACTGTACTTTCAACTTCTACCTTCTCTGTAAGTTTGGGATTCATTCTCTTTGGTCAAAATTTGCACATATCCTAACTAAATTGGTTTTTGTGGACAAAAGTATGGAATTCTAGGCTTACAATTAATATCCATGAATAGAGAAAAAGTACTATCATAATTCTACCCAAAACACTTAGCTTCTCAAATCAAATTTGAAATATACTTTCAAAAGAAAGGAAAGTGGAAAGTAGGCAAAGCAACCGCAAACAACCAAACTTTACTGCAGGGAGTGAAAACCAAGAGAAACTATTAGAATGGCATTTCAGAGGAAGATTCATTTGGACTTACAGAAAAAGAGAAAGGATAAATCAAGCATAATTTCAGGTTTCAAGCCTGGGTAATTAATTTACTTTTGTTGCATTCATTGAATATGGACTTCAAGAGAAAGAGCAAATAAATGGAAGTATATGATATATTCACATTTGGGGATACTGAGTTTGTGATGCTAAAAAGACAGTTGGAAATGCCCATCTGATAATTAGAAATATTAGTCCAGATATAAGGAGAAAAAGGAAATGCTGAAGTGTAGATTTAGGTAGTAGTCGATATAGAATGAGTGAGAGCCAGGAATAGATGAATGTAATGAAAAATGAAATAAAAAAGGAAAATTGAAGAAAATGCCTATTAAATAAAATAACAGATGAGGAACTAATGAGTAGGATACAGGTAGACACGAGCATGGACAAAAGCATCAGCAGTGACAGTGTAGCAGAGAGGTTAAACAGGAAACAAAATAAAGATAATTCATATATTTCAGGAAACATTTCTTTAATGAGAAAGATTTCAGTTGTGTGCTTCAGTCTGCAAGAGTAGGATTATGTCGTTAGTATACATCGAGGAAATAAAGCCATCAATTTAGGAACAAGTTCAGGCTAGCCTGCTGGAGCATGAAAAACCCTGTCCAGAGGAATTCCAGTCATCCCAGACATCCCAGACATCAGCCAAGCAGCTCCAGCCAACCCATGAACTGACAGGTCTGTGAGTTCAGCCATGATCAACCAAACATAGCTCATACCAGCGTGATACCCTAAATTCTAACCCCACAGAATTGTGAATTAAATATACTGATACCATTTTAAGCCATTAAGTTTTGGTTAGTTTTCTGTACAGCAAGATGTAACTAATGCGCCTTCCAATAAGTTGTTTTAATATATATTTTGCCCAATTTTCTAATTATTCTTGATGGGGATTTAGTCCTAGTTACCTAATCCTCTCTCAAGAGAAAATCTCTGAAAATCATTAATATATTAAAACGTTAAGCTTACAACCTTAAAACATCTTTGAATGAAATTTTTATTTTTATTTATTTATTATTTTTCATTTTTTTCTTTCTTTTTGAGACAGAGTCTCGCTCTGTCACTCAGGCTGGAGTGCAGTGGCATGAACTTGGCTCACTGCAACCTCCATCTCCCAGATTCAAGCGATTCTCCTGCTTCAGCCTCCCGAGTAGTTGGGATTACAGGTGTGCACCGCCACTCCTGGCTAATTTTTGTATTTTTAGTAGAGACAAGGGTTTCACTGGGTTGTCCAAGCTGGTCTCGAACTCCCGACCTCAAGTGATCTGCCTGCCTCAGCCTCCCAAACTGATGGGATTACAGGCATGAGCCACCAAGCCAAGCCAAATGGAATTTTTAAAAATTATTATGTATACAAATTTATGGGGTACATGAGTAATTTTGTTACATGTATATAATGCATAGTGATCAAGTCTGGGTATTTAGCGAGTCTATTACCTGAGTATAATATATTTTTGTTAAGTATAGTCATCCTATTCTGCTATCAAACATTGAATTTATTTCTTCTATCTAACTATATATATGTACTGTGAGGGATTTTTTTTAAAAGGTTAAAAAATAAAGTATATTACTAAGTGCAGAACATTAAAATTCACAACAAATTGCACTAATATCCATAAATTCTTAAATATTTATTACCTCTGCTATAACATCTTCCAAATCAGTAAATAAAAAACTTAAAAAATACATATTAAACATAATTATGCACACAAAGTACTAATTGTGTAATTTCCTTTTGAATTTTAGTCATTGCCAAATTGTTAGAAAATATTTTTTTCAGCTTTAAAAGGTTTAAATAGGAAAAAAAAAATCATCTAATAAGATAGGCACTACCAAAACCCACAATGGTTATATCACACCACAATAACCTAATAACCTAATGGCACATAGATCAATAAGCATTTAAAAATGACATACAAACACAAAAAGAGAACTTGTAATAAAAAATATCAAGCAAAATACTTTGATTGTAGGTTGTTGGAGATAGGTTTGATGGAAAATAGGTAGTTGTTTTTGACCTTGAGGACGGTTATAAAAGTAGCACGGCAGCACAAAATCAATCACAATAAACTGGAAAAAAAAGTTTGTAAATAAAACTAGTGAGAAATTGTTTGTTTGTTTTTTTCACTTTTTCCACAAGGAAATGCAATGATAAATGTCCAGAAAAGCAATAAAAATATTTCCTTTCTTTTAAACTAAGGAACATCTTTATGAAAAAGGATGTAGAAGATAATCTACCAGAAGAGAAAATAAGAATAAGCAAAGTTATGGAAACATAGCAAAATAATTATGCCTGATGATTGGTACCTGTTATTTTATGATGCCTCTTATAAAATACTTCAGTACTGCATTATTCAGTTTGACACACTAACAATCCTAGGCTTTAATAAAACAATGAGCAACAAAACCCAATCAGAATTAATGATATAGCTAGTTTGCCCACAGGAGGTAAAATATCAATCTATAATGCTGATTGACTTATTTCAACTTTGATAAAAAATGGCTAGTATAATTATAGACTAATATGTAAGTAATAAGTCTGGATCTCATCACCACTGGATAACAGAACTGTTATGGCTGTGAATCAGATTGTCTAATACAAGTTTTTGAACACCATATCAGAAGCAGAGTGATTTATTGACTACCCATATCATCTACAAGCTCTAATTTAAGTTGTAAGAACAACTGCTTCTGTTGTAATTAATTCTGGGCATGGAGTTAATCAGGCAATCATCTTTATTAGTTTACTACATGATTAATATGCTCTTGTTTGTTAGGATGGAAAAGAAATAGCATGCCTGATTTGGACAGGTCAGATATTATAGGTCTTTCAAGCTTTACAACAAACTAAAAGGTTTTGTTGTTTTGTTTTGTTTTACTTCAAAATCATGGGGGAAATATTTTTGAAAAGTTCATAAAAGGAAGAGAGACAATTCACAAAAAGGCACTTCAGATTTCCAGTTTAGTATAGTGAAGAAAGAACCTCCTCCCAAATTATATGATGAAAGGAAAGAATGATGATATTGGTGTGTAGATGAGGATGAATCTATTATAACTGAAATATCTGAAAACATACTCTTGCTCAAAGAGATAATTAGGGCTAAAATATAAAGGTGGGGTGGGGGAGGGGTAAAAGCACTATAATGAATTCTAATAGTTTTTCATGTTTGAAGGATGCCAACAAAGTAATCCTGAAAGGTGAATTCATCCATTTATCCTTCTAGCAAACTCACAAGTGGGCTTCACTAAGGAATATTGCTGAATATGTCTAGAAATTTGCAAATGAAATCAAAGCAAATTAATTCTCACAGGATGGTGTTTTTTTTGCATTTATTTTCCCCAGCATAACACTCTTCTCATCAAACACTTTAGAATAATACCTGATGAGAGATGTGATGTATTCTCACATCACAAGACATTTAGTACATGTAGATAGGTATGAGTTCATAGAGATCATATATTTATTTCACTAATGATCTGTCAACCACTCTCTCTATTGTAATAAATGGCTAAGTAGTTACCTAAGCAACAGACTAAAAAGATTTTTCAGGAAGGGTGTGACCACCTTGTCCACTTTAAAGAAATCTGAAAGCAAATATATTATACTAGTTCTAATATGATCCTAATAACAGATCGATTAACAAGTGATTACCTGCTTTACATAGCTTTTATTGCCTCATTAAGTTTTTGAAGAATGCTTGGGGAATGCAATATCTCTTTTCATTTGTTACTCTTACAAAAGTAGTCAATTAACTTTTAAGTAACTAATTAGAAGTAATTTAATGTTATCATTCAGGGGTAAATTATAGGTGTTCGTATTTTCAGTTTATTAAATAAGGTATACATATAATCTCAGGAGTGTTTCTATTTAGTTGTGTTTTATGCTGCATTCAACTTTACCAACAATAATTTACAGGTGAATTATAATTGCATTTAAATATTCTTTACCAGATCAATTATTAGGAATATATGTTTGTATGCTTGGTTAATATGCAAAATGAGATCAAAATAATTCAGCCATCATTTAAACTCCAGATGATGTGATTAACATCAAATATGAATGACAATCTAACTCTTGGGAAAGGAGACTAATCACGTCCAGAAAGGCTTCAAAAAGGCCATATGATTAAGGAGAATTTGAAGATAACTTGAAGTAATGGCACAAATATATACTGAGATTTCAGAATTATAACTACAACTGAGAGTTGAAAGGTAATACAGTTCATAAGGAATAGGATCAACAAACAACAAAACAAAACAAATAAATTCTGACCTGCTATCAGATCATAAACTATATCATATTCTCACTATTTTTATGTCATTCTAAATGGCTCTTGATCCAGGGAGACCTTTTATCTTTCATCTCAGTTTAGTTATGTCCACTGCCTTAGAGGACAGAATTTAAACTATACTATGCTATTCCTTGGTCTAGTTAATATTCCATTTAATATTCAAATAGTGACATATTGTATCTATGGAATAAATGCACATTGTCTCAAGCTGTGGATAACACTTTTAAAAATAACTTCAGCCTGTAAGGACACTGTATCTCTATCCTTAATAATAGAATATTTGTTATTTAAAATGGTAAATAAAACTTGGTATTAAATCATTACCAGCAAACCACATTGCTCCCCATTCCAGCTTTTGTTCAAATTAATATCATAAGTCTTCCAAGCAACACCAAACAAGTACACATATCTATTATGCTTTAAGTAATTAGTTTTATTTCAGTAGTCACTGTTCAAATGTACTGGACTATTGGACAAGAAAAACAAAATAGAGTTTGTTGTAAAACCTGTTGGAATATATTTTTGTATAATTACTTTCTAAAAAATGGCAATATAACATGTAAATCTCAAATGAAAATTACTCTTTTAGTTACATATGCCAAGCCTCAGTTGAACTATTCCCTTGTGTAGCAGTACATTTTCCAGGGATTTAAGTGTAAAATCAAACTTAGAAATGGCTGTAAGATGTTCTTTTTCTTAATATTATGGTGTTGAAAATCAAGACTATTAAAATAATAAAGTAAAATCCTTTAAAAGATGAATAAGAAAATTAATGTAATTAGCTGTACTATTTCAAGTAATTTGTGAAATAATTTTTTTTCAAACTTGGATGGGAGAAACGTAAGGGGGTGTTTAAGAGAACATTTTTCCCACTATATTTGGAGTCAGATATTACACACTGACTGCAACCATGGTTAAGCTGCCACCTGAAACATCTATGAAAAGTGTCTGTGTTATATTCTGCACAGTATCTGTTAAATGCTATATTTGAAAATGGTAAAAAAAAAAAAAAGTATTATTTTATGACTTTACATAGGAAGATTCTCTTCCTTTGCAAAAGCAACCAGATCATAAACAAATATTTACTTAGTAAATACTTTAATAATGATATTAACATATCTTTCTGGAGTTAAACAGTATTGAAACAAATTGTTCTTTTGTTACTTGCTAAAACATGAACAGCATGTTTTAGAAATAATAATTTCCTATTTAATCCATTTCCTTTTGTTGTAAAAAAAATGGCTACCTTGGATATCTGATGCTCAGAAGTTGTATCTATCTTGAAGGAGACATTAAATGAAAATGAAATGTAATCATCATAAAGAGAATTGATAATGGATTTGTAAATACATGGAAGAACAAGTAACCTCGTTCCACATTCAAACTCAAAGAAAAGGATGGACCTACAATAGCAAAGTTTCATGGATTCCTTCGGTCATGAAATATCCTATTCTCATAAAGGAGGGCACAAAGAATTCCATTATATTATATTCACATCTTTAACTTTTCCATTTTCAAAGTAGGCTTAGAAAGAACAAAGGACTTAGAACTGTTCAATGACATTATTCTAGAGGAAGTACTCTACTAGGGGGTTCCATTTTGCCATCTCAAAGAGAATTTTTTTTTTTTTTTTTTTTTAGCTGTCAGAGTGCTTTTTAGCCTGTAGATAGTGTATGAGCAGGGAGAATTCTGTTTGTTCTTTTAAAAATAGTCCAAAACATTTCAGTCTTTGTGAAAATTTCTTGGAGCTTAAATAGGAAATAAATCCAAAGTCAAATTCTCTATTAAGCCATCCATGTTACTTGTTTCTTATTCCGCTGAGAACAGTATATCATAGATCTACTGAGGCTAAAATAAGCTCAATATAAAGATGGGAATAAACTATAGAAAAGTCTTTGATTTCACCTGAAAGTCAAACAGATCTTGAAGTTATACAAGGACACTTTTAGTTTATCTTTTTATTTTTAAGGTTAAAAATTTGTTATGCTTTCCTATGTTAGTAGTCATGTCTTATTTAAAACCTAAAACCATCTTACAGGAAATTTATATACATACTACAGTTGTATACATACTACAGTTGTTCATTTTTTTCCATAAGGTGATTTTAAATAAGACATGACCACTAAAGTAGGCAACTGTAACAATTTTTTTAACTTTAAAAATTGTAAAACTATATACACTTATATGTGTTTGTTTGTGTGTATGAATTTGGGTACCTATGGAAAATGTAGACAAACTAAAAAATTCCTGCTATTCATTTAGGAAACATTTCATTGAAATGTTACCATTTTTCAATTGTTGGGAAAAAACGAGGAAGGAAATAGAGCTGCTGGGTCAGCGAAGTTGACTTCAAGTAACAAAAATGTGATTTTAAAATTCCTAGTGTAGCAAAGACTCCAGTTTAATTTCGCATGGCCTAATATCTAAGATACTATGTGTGGCGTTGGCTTTAGAATTTTGAGAGATCTCATTATCATGTATTATATAGAGAAAATAAAACTAAAAGATGGAATTAATTTGATATAAATTTAATACATCCTTTCTGGTCATGCCATATATTATTTTAGCAATTAATAGTGATAGCATTAAAGTTTATATCATCAACTCCTTAACAGCATTAAACATTCTTCTGCAAGAGGAAAGCAAATTAACATTTTTTCCATAAGCTATATGACACAATAAAGGAATTGGGGGTATAATATTTTTCCAGTTTTGAATGAAGGCCATAATATTTATTCCTAAATGAAGAGTATTAGTATATGATGTTGAGTTGTAAATAGCTTCAGTAGATATTACATTTTTTATTCACAACTATACATCTGACAAAGTTTTAATATCTAGAATCTAAGTAACCTAAAATTAAACAAGCAAAATGATCCCCATTAAAAAAAAAAAAAAAAAGATGGGCAAAAGACAGAAGCAGACATGTCTCTAAAGAAGATGTACTAGCAGCCAACAAACATATGAGCAAATGTTCCACGTCAATAATCATCAGAGAAATGTAAATCAACCACAATGAGATACCATCTCACAGCAGTCAGAATAGCTATTATTAGAAAGTCAAAACAACATAGCTATTATTACAAAGTCAAAACAACAGATGCTGGAATCGCTGCAGAGCAAAGGGAACATTTATACACTGTTGGTGGGAATTTAAATGTTTGGCCACTGTGGAAATCAGTTTGGAGATTTCTCAAAGAATTTAAAACAAAACTACCATTTGACCCGGCAATCCCATCATTGGATATATATCCAAAAGAAAACAACTGTCCTACCAAAAAGACACGTGGACTTGCATGTTCATCATAGCACTATTCACAGTAGCAAAGACATCAACCTAGGTGACCATCAGTGGTGGACTGGATAACGAAAATGTGGGACATACATACAATAGAATACTACACAGCCATAAAAAAGAATGAAATGATTTTCTTTACAACAACATGGATACAGCTGGAAGCCATTATTCTTTTTTAAATTTTATTATTATTTTTTATTTTTTTGAGACGGAGTCTCGCTCTGTGGCCCAGGCTGGAGTGCAGTGGCGCGATCTCGGCTCACTGCAAGCTCTGCCTGCCTGGTTCACGCCATTCTCCTGCCTCAGCCTCCCGAGTAGCTGGGACTACAGGCGCCCGCCATGACGCCCGGGTAATTTTTTTTTTTTTGTATTTTTAGTAGAGACGGGGTTTCACCGTGTTAGCCAGGATGGTCTCAATCTCCTGACCTCATGATCCGCCCAGCTCGGCCTCCCAAAGTGCTGGGATTACAGGCGTGAGCCACCGCGCCCGGCCAAAGCCATTATTCTAAGTGAATTAACACAGGAACAGAAAACCAAATGCCACATGCTCTTACTTATAAATGGGAGCTAAACACTGGTACACATGGACATAAAGATGGCAGCAAGATAGCAGCAAGAGACACTAGAAAGTACTAGAAGGAGGAGGAAGGAGTAGGGTGAGAGTACTATGCCCGGGACCCGAATGATGGGATCAATCATACCCTAAACCTCAGCATCCCAGATAACCCAGGTAACAAACCTGCACATGTACCCACTGAATCTAAAATAAAAGTTGAGGAAAAGAAAGAAATTAAATTTTAGATATAGGAGAGTGAATATTATCTGCAAAGACATGAAAATACTCTATAAATATTTAATTTTATTGTATAAATCTTCAGTCTTTTCTCTTGAAAAAGTGGTATTAGAATATTTTTAATGGTATTATTTAC
Source organism: Homo sapiens (assembly GCF_000001405.40). Lineage (NCBI taxonomy): Eukaryota > Metazoa > Chordata > Mammalia > Primates > Hominidae > Homo > Homo sapiens. The sequence goes on along the minus strand of NC_000003.12, from coordinate 82,092,681 downwards.
GATTCATCAAAATTTTGCTGATTTATTTACTTTCTCATTCTCCACTCCCTCACCCCCTACATACACACTGACAGTAGAAGTCAGTGTTTCGTTTTGATATTTTCAAGAACAAGGTTTGTCCATTTATCCCTTTAAATCTTTAAAAGTTTTATCCTTTCTTTTTTATTATTTTTCCTTCATTACCTTTTAATCACATAATATATAAAACATTCAAAGGGATATTTGTATCATAAGTTATTTATAAAGTATAATAACAAAGTGAACACTTGCCAATCACCACCCAAGAATGAGAACAGTACATAGAACAGAACAGGTGAATTTTCATTCACCTATACATTCCTTCCCTCTTACAGCCTCTTAATCTTCCCACCCTAGAGCAACTCTGCTGATCATATTTCCGAGATAATTCCAAACTGTTTAACAAAGCAGTGAACCAATGTACACTTTCAAAGAAATTGAAATGAGTTTTATTTTATTCACTACCACATCAGCTCTTGTTATTTTCAAACTAAATTTTAGATTTTTTTCCAACATATTGGATAAACAGAAGGTATTTCACTGTGGTATTGATTTGCATTTTACTGATGACTAATAAGATTACATATATTTGTTTTGGCCATATGTCCTTCCAGTTCTGTGAACTACATGTTGTATCCGTTATCTATTGCTGTGTAACAACTTATCACAAACTTAGTAGTTGAAAACAAAGCACAGTCATTTCAGGGTTTCCACTGGTCAAGAATCAAGGAATAGATTAACTGGGTCCTGCTTTGAGTCTCACTAGGCTACAGTCAAGTTGATGGCCAGGTTGAATTTTCACCTGGCCATTCAACTGGGGAAGAATATATTTCAAAGCTCCCCCAGGTTGTTGGCAGGCTTCATTTTCTTTGACTGTAGGACTAAGGGTAGGGACTTCTTGGTAACTGTCATGTGGAAAACACCCTCAGCTTCTAGAGGTTATCCCTAGCTTCCAGAGGCTGCCGACAGTTCTTTGCCATGAAGGTTTTCTCAAAATGTTAGTATACTTCAACACGCATGTAAGAAGTGTCTCTAGCATATGTCTGCTTGGAAAACAGTCTATGTAATGTAACATAATCCTGTGAATGACATTCGATCACCGTTGCCATATTCTATCCATTAGAAGTAAGTCACTGGCACTGCCCACGCTTAAGGGGCTCACAAAAATACATGAACAGCCAGGAGGCAGGGACCATGGCAAAGGCAACCCTAGCATTTGTCTGCCATACCTGTTTATGTATTTTGCCTATTATTTTACTTGAAATTTTTCTTAACAATTTATGTTTTTGTATGTTATTTCACCAGCTATCTATATTGTGCGTATTTTTTCCTAGTATGCTACTTGCCTTTTCACTTCATTATAATGAAAAAAGACATTCCATATTTAATGGAATTACACTTATTAATTTTGTATGTACGTTTTTTGCTTTTTCTAACTTACTTAAAAAAGAAGATAGACTTCTAATTCTTTCTAAAATGTTTAATGTTTTACACTTAATTTTTAATTAAATTGATATGTTTTTGTGCTCTATAATCTGTTCTGTTGGTCAATATATCTGTCTATTGGCCCTAATGCTGCATTATCTCTGTAAGAAGCCTTGCTATCAGATAAGGCAACTGCCCCCTTCCCATACTTTTCTTCTTCTTCAAGACTGACTAGGCAATTGTTAGAATTTTTCTCTTTAATATATATCTTAGAATTAACATCTTATTAATATTTATGTAACTCCTTTGGACATTTTAATTGGGTTGCACCAAAACTATAGGTTAAAGTGAGAAGCTATACAAATTTATGATACTGAGTCTTCTTTCCATGCTTATGACATATTTCATTTATTTAAGCCTGCCAATATATTTAATATAATTTTAAAATTTTTATTTGGTCTTACCCATGTCTTTTAGTTTTCATTTGAAGTTTTTAGTTTTCATTTTTATTGCTGTCATAAGTTATATTTTTAATTATTGTTTTCTATTTTTGTTGTCATTGTCAATGGTGTGTAAAAAGACAATAATGTATTTGTATGCACCGATGTACTAATATATCCCACAATTTGGCTAAACTCCCTTATAATACTTAATAATTTGTTCATAAATTCTTTTGGCTTCTCTAGGTAGAGGGCCATATCATTTTCCAGTAATAACAGTCTGACTTGTTCTTTCCAATCCTTATGCTACTGATTTGTTTTATTTTAATATTAATATAAATTTCAGCATAGTGTTGGAAAGAAATGTAGATGTTTAGCACCTTGCCTTTTTCCTGATATTTCAGGAAATGCTACTAGCATTCCTCCCATTAATAAATGTATCCTCCCTTTCGACCCTTCCTTTTGCCTTCTTCATGGGACTGAAAAAAGTAGGTGTTCCCTCAAGAGTTAGGGAAAGTTGTTGACACAATGGCCCAAAATGGATGGCCAGAGCTATATTATAGTAAGGAGAGTGTGTTTACACTGGGAAAGCCTGAATTTGAGCTTCACAGACCATAAGGGGTGAGCACGGCCCTTTACTAAAAGTTAGAACACTGCAGTGTGTTGAAACCCATGTGGACATGAAGGTGTCTGTGTAAGAGGACAGCCAGGTGTGGGTTATCACAATTCAAGTGGGGTGAGAATGGCATCCATGTGGGAGGGATCAGGAGGCTGACTTTTGAAATCTTTCTACAGTCCTTTTCCAAAATTAATAGGGCTGACATGTTACCAAGAGGGTACTGTAGAAATAACAGAATGTAATATCTGAAGCTAGGTTATAAAAGACATTGAGGCTTCTGTCTTATTAGCTAGGATTACTTGCTTTGGAGGAAGCCAATATTGTAACAGCACAAACAGGCCTATGGAGAAATCCTCATTGAAAGAAATGAATGCTTCCTACCAATAGCTACCAAGGATACTAGCCAACAGTCATGTGAGTGAGCCATCTTGGAAGTACATCCAACAGTAAAGTCAAGCCCTCAGAAGACCGTACCCCCAGGCAACATGATGCTACACCTCTTGAGAGAACCTGACCCAGAACTCCCAAATACCCTATGTATGTTTCTGTACCCTATGCACAGAAACTCTCTAAGATAAAGTTTTGTTGTTGCTAAGTTTCGGAGTAATTTATTACTGCAATATTATACATGTTTGATATTCTGGCATTATTATATCTTTCATTAGACTAGCATATATGAAAAGAAAACAAGTAATAAAAATTATATGAAATAGTCACCTTCACTCACTGAAATCCAAATTTACACAATATTGGCATAGAATGTCTATCACGTTGTACATTGGAATGTGTGAAGGTGTGGATAGATATTTTCATGCATCGCTAACGAATATATAAACCATAAAATCCTCTGAAGGAAAAAAGCCTTAACACATACTCAACTGCTCAACTGGGAGTTTGAGTCCATGTGTTGTTAAACTCTCTCCCTGTATCTCAAAATGCCAAATAGAAAGACGGAAACTACTTTCACTCACTTCATTCTCCTGCAACGAAAATGGAAAAGAAAATCTTCAGAAAGGTAATGAAGATACTTCCTAGATAGGCACATTAAGCTAAAGCTCCCTCCTTGCTTCCTTCAGGCAACCGGACCATTTAATGTGGTAAATCAAGACTCCAGCAAGCAAATCTTAAATTTCTCTTCTCCCTTATCATGGACACATTTGAACAGGGACTTCACATTCTTGGAGCCAACTGATTTTAACTTCGTTTCTGAACAGAGGTCTCACTTCCCCTATTTAGTATGAGCAAACAGACAAACCCAGACACAAGAACAGGGCCAATTTAAGAGGCAAAACTAATGCTTCCCTGAATAGTAGTTTTTGTTGTACTTCAGGAAACAGAAGAAAACTTTAGAAAATCTATAATGTATTCTCAGTGTCTTTAGAGGCTTTCGCATATTCTAGCAATCAAAGAAACAAAATTAAAACTGTCATGTCTTGGCCTTTCGAATTGTTAAATAATTTTAACTGCCTGTGTTAGAACAAGGGAAACAGAAACTCTTAGGCAATGTTAATTGGAGAATAAATTGATATGTTAATTCAGAAGTGAAAGTTAAAGTATGTAATAATAATCAGATTTTTTGATTCAGTAATTATACTACTAGGAATTTGTCATTGTAAAGATAATCAGTGAGACATACTAATCTATATATAATGTTTATAGCATATTACTTAAAATAGAAAAAAATAATAAAAATGTCTATCAATATAAAATCATTAAATAAATTATATGATCAGGATGCCAGACAACTTGTTTGACTAAAATGTAAAGCAATTTAGTTCATAAGTCCTCATTTCAGTTAAGAATCAAAGAAAAAAATAATTCAAGTTAAAATAGACAATAACTCCATCATTAACATGTTCAATTTATTATTTCAACTAAGTTAAATCAAGATTCTCTCTCTTCTCATTGTATTTTTCTTTTCCAGAAAGGCCTACGTTCCCAGGGAGCTTTCTCAATGTCTCTGATTCAGTAGATAAACATGTGTTTGAGTCACTATCCCTTTTCCTGCAAACTTGCCTGGCCTGGTTTTCAGCAGATTCTGGTATCCACCATATCCACTACATCTCCTAGTTATGTCCATGGCCTCGTTATGCCTTGTGATCTCAAAACCCTTGTTCTCTGAGTTGGCCTAGTCACAATTTCAGTCCTCTACTAGTTAGCTGATCCTCTCAGCATGTTTTAATTTCTTTCTAACCTGAGACTAAGGAAGCTATTTTCCCTGCACTATTGTGGCATTCTTGAGATTTTCTACATAGACACTTCTCTTGCCGTGGCTCATACAGCACTTAGATATTGGGTTGTATGTGAAAACTGTCATAGACCTGCAGTCTCCACCATTCGACCACGAAAAGTCTTTTGCTTGGGCTCCACTACCCTCACGTCTGCAGTTTTAGTGCTAGAAGCGGGCAGTGATAACCTTGTTTTCTCTATTGCAAAGCTCTCTAACATCCCATCCCCGGCCAATTAGCTGTGCTTATATCACTTTAGAAAGGAAAGTGCTCTTAAGAGAATTACTCTTTAGTTCATATTATAAATACGTTAAGTCTTTGAGGCTCTGACTTCTTGAAACATAGGAATCTTATTCTATCTTATCAAAGCCTGGTTCTTGCAAAAGAAAGCTTTCTTCTCAGGATTACATTTCAATACATTTCAATATCCTGTTCTCGGGATACATTTCAAAATCCACTTTGCACTTTAGTTAACATAGTATTTTTTAGATTGTATATAACCTCATATTCAGGGCAAGGGGTATTTAAAGGTAACTCTGCACCTGAATAGTGGTAGGGGATAATGTGATTTTAAAAAAAGGATTGGAGTAAGCAATCTTTTAATTTAAGTAATATTAATTTTCCATTTATGCAAACACAGAAATGAGAATGAAAGAAAATATGCTAAAATATTTATAGTGGTTGTGTCCATATTGTATTTTTTTAGGTTTTCTATAAGGATATTTCTATAATTGATATGTTTCTTCTGTGTCTGATAAAATTATTATCAAAGATTCTCAATTACTTTTTTCTGTGACTATTCTGGAGATCTTTTTCCTCACTCCTTGTAATATTGCTTTTGTTGTTATTTTAGAGACAGAGTATCTCTCTGTCACCCAGGCTGGAGTGCCGTGGTGCAATCGCAGCTCACTGCAGCCTCTCTCCTGGGCTCAAGTGACCCTCCCACCTCTACCTCCTGAGTAGCTGGGACTACAGTTGCCGACCACCACACCCCACTAATTTTTTTATTTATTTTATTTTAGTGTAGATATGGGGTCCCACTATGTTTCCTAGATTGGTCTCAGACTCCTGGGCTCAAGCGACCCTGCCACCTCGGCCTCTCAAATTGTTGGGGTTACAGGCATGAGCCACTGCACCTGGCCTGATATTATTCTTGTTAATAAATTAAGATACCTGCTTCTTTATTTAAGGTAATTTTTCATCCCACCTGCATCACTTGAATCTATGTTCTTCTGGATTAAGAATAAAGCCTTCTAATTTTCCTCAGTGGTACCACAACATCTTGTATATATTTTAAAAGTTTTTTTCAATACGACAAAACAAATTACAGGACCTATAGCACCTAGTTGTCTTTGGACCTTGATTTTATCTGATGCACCTCTCACTGGGAACTTAGTTTCTAGACAAGATTTTGCCCATCATTCATCTACTTTTACTGTTTTCATAGTCTTATTTTTTTTAGAATCAAATAGAACACCCAGTGTTCCTGTAATTCTTATCATTTGATGGGTATGCAACCAAGATACACCATTAAAAGAAGATACAGGCTGTTTAAATCCCTATTCCCTAGTTCAACAGAGCCTAAACATAAAAACATTCATGAAGAAATTCAATACCTCCTTCTCTGAAGTATGTTTCTGTTTCTCTTAAAATACTCTATTTCCCCAGGTCCCTAGAGTCTCTTGGACAATACCCAAGAGAGAATTTTTAAGTAACCAATGTGTTTCTTATTTATTGACTGCTGTTGGAGTTTTCCTCTTTAAATTCAAGGTGGCTAAGAACAACTTTCTTGAAGACAACGGGGAATTTGCTTTATTTGAAAGGAGAATATCGAATTCTAGTGTATGATTTTGATGGAAAAACCAAAGTAAGGAAACTCTAATACATACTGAAAATAGCATGTTTGGATCTGCTACATTGCAACGAAATGATGTCTCTTCCTACGGAAGCTGGCTGCCTTATCTCTTCCTCTCTCAAATAATGGAGTTTGAGAAATCATTTAAGTAAACTAAAACATTTTCAAATTATTGGATTAAACTTCCGCTGCAAATTTTAAGTGGAGTAAAATAGGTAGGCTATTGGGTAAACATTCACCCTCTGTCAGAGCACAAATATATTTTATTTGTCAAAGAATATTTTGGAAGATAGTTATTTTGTTTTATTTCTATTTCTTTAAAAGTGTTAAGGAAGCTTTGATAAATAAAAGGAAAAGGATTTCTAGAGATGCCAGTGAGATTTTTCCTATGAAGTTACTTCAACACTCATTAAAATTTAGTAAAACCTAGAATCAGAGAAGCGTCATGCTATTTGGATTTGTTGTGCAGAAGCTGAGTTCTGGTAACTGCCAAGACCATTTGTTACGCAGATTCCTATTCTTCTTCCTTTTTAAAAATGAACAATGAAGCTCTTTATTCCCCCCATTCCATGTTTTACAGCTGAGTCACATTTTTTATTTACAAGACACCTGCCTCCCCCTTCTCACATCTCTGAAGCAAAAATCGGGGAATAAGAAAGTCCAATTTTAAATTCAATCAGCACACAAGCCATTTGATGCAATGGATTCCATTTCTGCCACTGTTTCTGCCTACATCCCCCATGTGAGGGGAAAAAAAATTTTTTTTTCTCCTTTCAAGAGCTGTGCATGTGCACAGGATGGCTAAAATTCAATTTGAGTCTGTAGGATTATTGGCAGTAGTCGTGGTCCTAGTGATTGACTTTAACCCCTCAGAGCCTCCCTGTGTTCCAGAGAATGCTGATGGGTGGCATTTTAACTTCCCTGAGCTTCAAATTTTAGACACCAAAGTGTTTTAGAGAAGAGAGTTTTACACAATTGCAAATACACCAAATCTCTGCATGGCTCTTGGAAATGAAAGTATGCTGTGAGCTTTACAGGAAAATATAATTTTATAGAGATCCTTAGAGAGAACAGGACAGGAAGGAGTTCTTGGCAACTCCAGCAGTCATTTCCTAAAGGGGAGAAAGATGGGGCTGGTTTAGTTATATGACTGATTCTAAAATCCGTAAAGGTTGATTTCTTGAGTTTTTCATTATTTTGACTCTCAGCCTACTCAAATGAATTAAATAATAGTCACAAACTAAATTGGCTTTCTAAAGAAGATACAGCTTTGGAGACCTCTTCTTGGCACATAAACTGACATCGTATCTTCTATTCAAAATCAGAAGGCAAGATTTCCTAAGAAAGTATCTGATTAGAGAAATTCCACAAAGTGAGTAGAAATGACAACTCATTATGTCCCCTTTTCACATGTGGAATCCTTTAACTGTTATGGAAACACTGTTTCCCCTTGCTCTTGGAGACTTAGAAAAACTTAATCTCTACCTCAGTCTCTAAACCATTCCTGCACCTGCCTCTATGTTCCCAGATACTTCTGAAGTCAGTTCACAGAGCAGCTCAATAGAATGCAACCTGGGATAAAAAATCATGCCTCTTTTTAGGGATCCAGCTGGGTCATGATTTAAATTTAAAGGAATATCAAATCAAGTACTGACTGTGAAACTTCACCATCTTCTTTTTGATTTTCTAATGCTCAGTGTGTCAATCTAGAAAGTTATTTAGTTGAGCTGAATAACTACAAAGGGAAAAAGTTTCACCAGGTTACATTCAGAGAGGGAATGCACTGGGGTAAATTTTTTAAAGAACAAACTTGGGTGCATTAAAAGATACTTTTCATGATTTAAATTATGGCCCAGCTGGATCCCTAAAAAGAGGCATGATTTTTTTATCCCAAGTTGCAAATGTATACCTACATACATAAATATTTATATATATATGTATACACACACACACATATATAGCTCCTCAAAATAATCTTACAAAACTTCTTAATGAATAATTGTGGGGATCTGAAATTTTTCATTGGTCATATAACTTTATAAGTTTTAATGAAAATATTTTTTCAATTTCTATAACCAAGCAATGATTAGCTTATATTAGGTAAATATTTGAACTCCATAAAAAAGTCTAGAATAAAACTGCAGCCTGTAATCACGAAGCTAAGAGAGAGAATTAAGATTCTCCAGTATATAGAATGTCAGCATTTAGCCACTCACCCACAATAGAACTATTTCTCAAATATGTGTGTGTATATACATCTTCTTCTCATATTTTGAAAGTGGGTACCAGATGGTAAATTTAGGAAGAAGACAGGGAATGATTGGTTTGGAATAGCAAACTTTTGAGGAATATGAGTAAGAGGAATAAACAGGACCAAACAAAAAATTATCTATTATTTAGATCTAGGTAGGACTAATTTTATCAGCAAGCAGTTAACCAAATTCAAATAATTATAGAGCAACTATTTTTACCCTGAATTTTTTATGTCACATAGCAGAAGTAAACAATTAAAACATCATGTCTGCTTCTTTTCATAAATTTGTAGTTTGAATAACTAAAGAGAAAAATAGGAATGGGGTGGGAGTTGTAATTGATGTACATTTAACTCTCAACAACTATGGTTTAAATAACACAGTCTTATGTTTGTATGCTGAAAATTTTAAACATGTGATTCCTTTTATATAATCTGGGCCAATAAAATTGTCTTAAATATAAAAACCTGACAGCAATCAATGATCCATACTTGAAGAATGGTAAAGAATGGGTGACACAGGAAAAAAAAAAGATGAATTTATTCTTCATCTGATAGTTGATTGATTGAAAAAACATATAAATAGATGAATTACTAGGCTCTGGAAAAACAAGAGGCCAAGATTTTTTATTTTAAATAGGCATTATTCGGCAGTTTACTTCCTGTGAAAACTGAACAAGGAGAATACAAGTATTAAAGATGTTAAATTTCAAGCTATAAGTGTCTGATTCAAAAAAAATTTTAAAAGGGAGAGAGAAAGAACAATCTTGAAACATGATCCTTAAAACACTATTTTGAGTTCTGAACATTTCAAACTTGTTTTTGCTAACCACAGAACTTCTCAGGCATGAAAGCAACCCCCAGGTTAAGCAAGGGTATTTTATATGTGGGTGCTCATGGCTATTGGCAGTTACACCAATTTCTTTCTGATCTGTCATTTGTGTACATACCCAGCTTCTGGTTATCATACTTTCAACATTAAGTACTTTAACCTCTAACCCCCCTCTCTTCTTAGCTAAATGATCCCCTTGTTTTATCTTGCTCTTATAAATCTTTTTCTGAAAATTTTCATTATTTGTGTCAATTGTGTTTGAACCTCACAATACATAAAGAATCTGATCAGAAGTCACATGAACAGTAAAATTTACTAATACATACCAGAGACCTTAGAATAAGCAGTGTTGCTTATCTTGATCACCTTGTTTTACAGAGAGTAATATTTTAAAAATTTTTGACATCTGTTTAGGGTAATTTTATCAGAGCAGACACCAGTCCAATTAGACTTCTGTACCAGGGTGTGGCAACTAAATATGAGTCTGAAGTTGAATATTAAATGTTATACATAATTATATTACTTGGATACACACACATATTTATGTATACATGCACACATATCTTGATAAATTATAGAATGCTTTTAGCAGCATTGTGTAACTCTGACCCTAATATTTTTGTAGTGTGTGCATTACAAATTAGAATCCAATCAAGAAGGACATTAAATTATTAAAATATCCATTGACATCTTTCTAAAAAAGTGACTGATAAAGCTTATTTGTAAAACATTGCATTGTGCCCACATGGAGGATTCTTGTATCATTCTGAAGACTTTCAATATTTGGAAAATGACTGATTGAATAGATACAGATAATCATATGAAATTGGTATCTTTAAACACCTTGCAGGTATTGTCAACCAGGTTTGATTGTAAATATAAGAAATAGTTTAAATTTAGGTGAATGTACCAATATTACTATGCATACATGTTTTCCTTTGTAAATTAATTCAAAACCATAATTCATTCCTTGATGCCCTATCAGTTATAAATAATTAATCTTACTAATCAGGAACATATAAAATAAAGTGTTTCTATACAATAATTTGTCATAGTCTAGATTTTGAATTTTGGAGATGAAATTTGTAACTTACTAGTAAGCCCCCTCTAAATGTTCCAATGGTAACATGTCACAACCTGCCCAAGCTTTTTTCTTCACAATTGTATGCTGCACAGGCAAATTTACTACAAAATACTTCTGCAGAAGCACCTTTAGTGTTTTAGAATTACAACTTCATCCCATGCATACAATCTTTTCAAGTCCCATAATTGTTTGAAAGAAGGTTTTGCTTCTTTGAAAAGTGACATTGCCTACCCCAGGTTGCAACTGATTAAAACTGAGCTCTAATTGAGTGCATTTATTAAAGTTTTCTATTTAAAATAATTGAGATATGGCTCTGCAAGCAGTGGTCCATATCAACTATGTCATATTATAAATGGAATGGAGCTTACGTCATGCCACCTTTAGATAATTTGTGCAATTGTCTGTGAAGTGCTGCTAGACAATCTCTGTGAGTGACTGTTCTTGTCTTTTTATTCAAATAAGCTTTATAATAGGCTATTAAGCTTGTTTTCTAGAGATATACTTCAATAATTTATACAGCATTGCAGTCAAAACTAACCCATCACTTGTTTTTAGCAACGTATCTTCCTAGAAGTTTAATTATTCAGTAAATTCACAGGATGAGATCAACTAAATGTAGAAAATCTCATAATCTCTGTCCCAGAAGTGCTGAAGCACATTTAGTAATGAGAGGAAAAGCTAAAATATTGATAGCTAACAAAAGATAGAGCAAAAGTTATAGCACATATAGTAATAACAAAAAAACACACCACTTTAAAAATATGTTTTTAAAGGTCCTTCAACTTTGATGTAATTGGGCTTTTACCATGTTCTGATCTTTACTACTGATATTCTAAAATCTCACATTTCTCCTCTCCCCCACTGAGATCTGCCCTGGCATGTACTTAGTCAGAGGTGATTTTATATGAAATCTCTTAAAATAGCTCTTTATTGTTTATGATCCACAGATCTGTATCAGAGGCATTGTTCAGTTCAGCACATTGACACCGCACGTAAGGATGGCTTAGATTACCCTGAGATTATCAATGCTCTCCAAAGAGCTGGCTTCAAATCATTCTGGAAGCATCCACAGTAAATATTTCACTATCGACCTAACACTGATTAAAGAGATTGCTATTATTGAACAGAGAGGAGTCAGCTGCCTCAAAGTTTGAATTCTCTCCAAAATAAAGAGTTGTCTTTGATTGCCTTTGACCAACTTCATTTTTTAGGAAAAATCCTTGGGTCATCAGTGAACAAACATACTTTTTGAGACAGAGATATGGGGACAAACTGTCTTCTTTTTCACTACGACATTTTCTGTTTTAACATAATGAAGATTTAGAAAGCTAACTGATAGTCTGAGCTAGCTCTGTAAGTGTTTTCTGATCAGTTAGCCTGGAGTTGTGCCTTCCAAGATGTTACATCAGACAGATTTCCTGAGTTACCCACAGAGACACAGAAGTCACCAAACAGGATTGTTCAAGGGTAGAGAGCTGGAGACACAACAATACCACAGAGGATGTCACAGAACATAGCTTTCATCTCGCCACAGTGTTCTTGTGTAAAACTGTAAAGCTATATGAGACATGGCAATTTCAGTTCACAGAGGTTTAAGGGAATCTTTGTTTCTACCACACGAGACCTTTAATGTGAGTTTGAGGTTCTAATAAATTTAAAATCTCAAAATAAAATCTGGCAACCACATGTATGTTTGGTGTAACGTCCACTGGCATTAATATAACTTAGACTTGAACACACCCATTAGATAGTTTATACGACTAAGTATTTTTAAAACTATCAATACATTTTAATTATATTAGTGTAACCCCCTCCATATGGCTTTTATATAGTCTTATGTAGTCAATAATTTCCATCTACTGAACCCAGTCAATTATTTAAAAAAAAAAGACAATCTTTTCTAATGAAAAAAATTACTTCTCTCTACATTTAACGGAAAAAAAGGTCATTTTGGGGGTTAGGAGTAAAAATAACATTTTTGCTGGTTTCCTTTTAAAATATTGTTTTGCTTCATGTAATTCAGCAAAGAGGCATTTGGTCTCTCAACATAACTGTCTACATGATCATATGAAGAAATTATACCAGTTAAATGTCATGGTAAAAAGTGTGGAAGAAATTCAGATGAAAATTAGCCTGTAAATAATCTTGTATACTCTCAAAGGAAGCACTTACCACCCTGAACACACTTGCGGTGACTACTGGGGTGAACACAATCGTGATCAGTTTGTTGACAGATTCTGATTCATTATAAACTAACCTTCCTGAGAAAGTCGTCACAAGGTTCTCTGGTGAATAGCTTGTGCTGGAAATTATTAGGGTTTCTTATGCAGATAGTTACCCAGCACGTGACCCTAAAACAAATTGCCCCTTCTTCCAGAAGGGAAACTGCCCTGAAATAGATTGCCCATTTATTCACCCACTCCCTAAACCGATGCATGCTGATTGAAAATTCCAGGGCATGACTTTTCCTGGAGCTGTCCTCTATCTTCATTTTAGCTGTCCAGAAAAAGACAGGACATCCAAGCTTTCTCATCCCCTCCTCTTCAGTCCCACAGAAACTGCTGTCATTGTGTTACTTTCTGCTGGCCAGGCAGGTATGAGGCTTCCACTGAGGTGGATGTTAAAACAGCCACATGGGTCAGCAGGCAGATGGAGAAAAGGACTAGGGAAAGCGAAAGAGTGCATGCTTTTTAAAAAGACAGCATACCGCGAGGTCACACATATGCCGCTGGGTGATCTGACACTGCAATACTGACAGTTGTTAGATAGAATTTAAAAGATGGGGGGTTTTGTAAAATTATTTTGGACAGTTCAGTGCTTCTAGATAATTTTATAGGGTGCTCTGACATTTAAACATCTGAAGTAAAACTTCCTTTGAAGGCCTGACAAAGGTATAGTCATTTTATCATAAGCCAAACAATCTTATTTTTATAAGAATAATTTATCAGAACTGTGAGTTCCCTGCTGAATCACTTAAGTGAAACTAAGAGAAATCAGGAAGTGAGGATGAAAGACAGGACGAAAGAAAGTTGGAAACGCAAGGAAATACTGGAAAAAAATAGATACATATTCTACTCAGTAAATGTTTTGTGTCATCTCTGAAAGAATAGTAACCCCGAGAGGCTCCAGAAAGTACAACTCTGCTTGGCAATGATTAGATTGGTGGTTAGACCACCAGCCCTGCAGAACAGTATGACTTATATGCTATTTTCCAATACCAGGATTGGAAATCTAATTTACAGTACCCAGCCCTTTTCCAAACACCAAGGCCTCCATCTAAAGTATGTCATGCTATTAGGAACACAACCATTTAACCTCGATGGCAGCAATTCTTTATGAGCAAGGTTCATCCTTCATTCTCCACAGTTTGGCTAATAGATGGATTCAATAATACTCTTTCAGAATCTGGGTACACTGGGGCTGCTTTTATGCATAGGTAGAGAAGCAATCAACAGCATCTGGTGTCTGAAGCCCAAGACAGCTGACGTCTACAGTGACTCAAATTGCCACACTTTCACTACTTCAAGGAACAGCGTTAAAACCAAAACTATCACACTGAAAATCCTCAGGAGGTGGCATTTAAAACATAAGATATACAAATGGTGCCACTGAGAACTGTACAGGACAGAACCTATAAGGCCAACATTTAAAGCCTCCTTGAAAGCATTTAAAAAGAATATTATTTTCCATAGGAAGACAACATCTTCAGCCATTATCACCCATTAACTCTTTCTCCCTGTATCAGACAGGGTCCAAGCAGAGATACAGAACTAGTGGGAGATAGATATTAAGAGATTTACTGCAGAGAATTGGCTTATGGATTATGGGTGGTGGCCAGGCATGTTCACAAGCCTTCAGGAAGGGCAGGCTGAAAACTCTCAGGCACAAGCTGAAGCTGCTGCTCACGGCCGACACTCCTTCTTTAGAGAAGCCTCAGTTGTACTTTTAAGACCTATCACCTGATTGAATCAGGGCCACTCAGGTGATCTTATTTAAAATCAACTGATTATTCACTTAATCACACCTGCAAAATACAGCAATGCCTTAATTAATGCTTGATTAAATAACTATAGATTGGACGTAAGGCTAGCCAAGCTGACACATAAACCTAACCACTATAATTTCCTATCAAAATGGTTTCAAAGTTGACTGCTTTAGTTTTCTATAGTAATAGTAAAGAAGAAAACTAATAGCCAGGAGAGAAGATGTAGTGACACCCTATGTAGTGTAAGTATCCTCCTAGGTCCCTATCCAGAAATCTGAAATAGACATTTTTCAAAAAGACATGAATAGGCTGGGTACATGGTGGCTCACGCCTATAATCCCAGCACTTTGGCAGGCTGAGGTGGGCAGATCATTTGAGGTCAGGAGTTCGAGGGCAGCCTTGCCAACATGGTGAAACCCTGTCCCTACTAAAAATACAAAAATTAGTAGGGTGTGGTTGTGGGTGCCTGTAATTCCAGCTACTTGGGAGGCTGAGGCAGGAGAATTCCTTGAGCCCGGATAGCTCCACTGCACTCCAGCCCGGATGACATCTCAAAAAATAAAAAATAAATAAAACGAAAAAAAATGATATGAGGATGTAGCTAAAAGAAGAAAGGTTCAACCTACAGGGGATTCACTGTATTTGATAAAGGAGGAAAGCAATATTTTAACATATTAGTGTGCTTTTGTTCCTTGTGATTTTCATTTCCTTTAATTCCTGTTTATTTCCTGGCCCTTTCCCCATTTAGACTAAACTCAGAGCCATCCAGTGTTTCATGGAAGCATTGCAAAATCCCAGTCCTGTGAATACCAGAAGCCAAGGCATAATGAGGAATTCAGAAGAAAAAAACGTCTGCCAGGGATGATTTTCCCTCAACTATATACTAAACTCCAAGATGAGTTAAAATCTGCTTTTATGATTCTGAGGAAAACCGCAGAAGAGTGAGAGACAAATGAGTGAAAAAGAAAGGTAGGGCTTCGTAGGACCACGGTTAACCTATTCTACTGAGTTTTAATTCAAGAAGGGGAGAAATGATAAATATTTCATATGATCTAATAGTAGAATAACCTGTGTTTCTTATTTCATTAGATTTATCCACACATCTGGATAAATGTGTGAAAAAGGAAACAATTTTTTTTAATCTACCATGGGAAAGATCAAAAGAAATATCTTGGAGGACTGTGACCATCCTGTAGTATGTGGACTGAAACTATCCCCATAATATGCTATAAAGGAGCACAGCATTCTCAAAGAGGAGACTTCATTTGGTTAGAAAAATAAATGATATTTATGTGAAATGGTCTTTCCTTGGGGACTATTTCAGTATTTGTTATCGTGGAACTAATTTAACTTAAAAATTTGTTAGATCAGTGTCCTTTCTACCAACAGGTGACATAGAATATTTATAGCTGATGTCTTCAACACTTCATTCTATAACTTAACAAATATGTTCACCACAGACTACCCTAAATCATGTCAAAGTTTGAATCTGAGGCTTCTAATTAGATGCCCTAATCACTTCATTAGGTATTTCCATAGTTTTAACATTGTAAAATGGCTACACTTTGGGATGATGATAAGGTAAATTCATGCAACAGTTTTATTCCAGAGGAAGTAACATCTGCAGGAACTCTCCGATTGCATGTGCTGTCAGTAAGATGCAGGCCTCAGAGTCATAAAGGCCTGACAACACATAGACCTTGGAGTTTGAACTATAATTTGATGACATGTTGCTGCCATTCCTACCGGTTCATCTTCTAGCTGATGCACTGACTTATCTTAACAAGAACTGTTATATCCTGGTCCAAGTTTGCCTCACTGGGAACTCACAACCAAGGGAACTCAACCTTGTTGAAACTCTTAGTTCCTTACCATTAATGGCAGATTTGGATTGCCTGTGGGATTGCAGCTGATGTGTAACCTCTGCCTCACTCAAGCATATTGTTAGTCCGTAGCCCTGAGTGCAGAAATAATTGACAACCTGCTCTATCTCCTTCTGTATAAGCCTGCAGGGCATAGTCAGCCACGTTAAACAACTGCTAGGTGACTGCTTCAAATATTGCAGGCTTCTACTGAATCCTGCTCAAGGGCAAGAACTTTCTGGAGGAGGAAAAGGAAATCTTTATATCAGTGTTCAAGTTTCTGGTTGCATCACTGATCAGGATGACAGAAAGAAGACTGGATATTCTAAAACAGGAGGCACACCCATCTCAATCCACCGGACATAGACAAAAGATAAAATGGGGCTATGTACATAACATTGCCACTCATGTTGAGCAGCTTTTTAATCTGTGTAGCAGTAGACATGTTGTTTTTTTAAAAAATAAATTCATATACAAAGAGAACCAGAAGATAGGCAGAAAACAGACTCTTCCAATTTGGATAACTTAATTTAAATGTTTTCCCTTTCCAATTTCTTTTCCAAAGTGTAAAAATATTTTGCCACAGTATAATGTTCTTTTATTAGTTATTGGTCACTACACTAGTCATCTACTGGTACATAACAAACTACCCCAATGCTTAGTGACTTAAAATAATTTATTATTCCTTATGTTTCTGAGCGTTGACAGGCTCATCTGGGTGATTCCTGCTTAGGGTCTTTCACGTGACTGCAGTCAGATGACAGACGAAATTGAAGTCATTTGAAGACTTCTTCACCTATATGTCTAGTATCTAAGCTGGGAGGAATAGAACAATTAGGAGTTGATGGAGGTCTCTTTCTCTCACTTTCTATCCCTGGGGCCTGTCCACATGGCTAGCTTGGGCTTCTTCACAACATAGAATGTTCAAGGTGTTGGATTTCTTATCTAGTGCCTAAGAGGGTCTTCTCAGAGGAAGGAAAATGAATCCACCAATTCTTGAGGCCTGGGTCCAGAAACAGAAACAGCATCACTAATGCAGTATCTGTCTGCATTCAAGGGGAGAGGTCTCTATATCTTAATAGAAGGAATGTCAAAAAAGTGGCATTTTAATCCAACATAGCTACCAATAACAGCAAGTCATTTTTTTTCCATTAGTGTATTTTCCATTTAAAGTACCAGTTAATGTTCCCTAATGATTAATAATGACTTTTTGAGAGTTACATACGCAAATACTTTATTTGTGACCGGTATGTGATTAGAGCATTGTAGGTTATGATAAGTTGAAGTCATTTTGACATAATTTATCAGTAAGGCCATCTATGGTACGCATTCAGAGTGCAGGTTCAAGTAAACACCCTTATAGTTCACTAGTATCATGTACATTATATATTTTACATAATATAGACTTTATTTTTATTTGCTGTAAGTAAATATTACATAACACCAACTTCAATGGATTCTACAATATGAAATTTCCCAAACCTATAATCCCCTCTCTAAAAATGGAAAGAAGATATGCATATGTTTATATTTCATAGTTACCTAAAACACGCACGTATTATTCACACAAGAGCATGTTCAAATGTAAACAAATGGTATCAATTAAAATACATTTGGCTGCAAATAATATAATGGCCAAATGTCAATGGTTTACATATAGGGATATAATTATTTCTCACAATAAGAAGTTTGAAGACAGGTGGTTCCAGAGTGGCAGCAATGATATTACTACTAACACTGGGGTCTTTTAATTTATTTCTCTGTCCTTTTAAATATGTTGATTTTTCTTCCTTAGTTTTCTCACTTCATAGTCAAAAAATGGCTTTCACTGCAACAGGCATTATTGTCTTATTCCACATCCCAGATCAGTGGGAAATAAAAGGCAAAACAAAATTTTTCTTTATCCGTGAAAATAAACCTTCCCAGAAACTCTAGTAGATATTCCCCTTTATTTCCCAGGCCAAAACTAGGATATATGCTCACCTCAAACCACCTCAAACAAGGCCAGACCTTGTTTTTACTCAATTCAAAGGGCCTCTATGTGATTGATGTAATATCTTAAACGAGATTTCATAAGCAATAAGAAATGAGAGAATGGCTTTTATAGGCCATGAACAGAATCTATTAATGAGTTTTTGGTGGATTTATATTACAAAATGACATTGTTTTGTCATAGTTCCCAACGAGGACAGTGGTCTTCTTTGTGAGTCTCTAAATGACCCAGTCTTATCCATGTTAGTGCTGTCTCTGACAGTTGCCTCCTGATTTTACTAAGTAAAAACTTACCAACCTTCCTGTACAGGAGGCATTTATTTGACAGACTTGCATAATCTATCTACGTATAATTTCTGAAAGGGCTTTGATTTTTCCATGACAGGTATAAGCTAGAAAATAGAGGTAATCTACAAATACAGCACATGGTACTCCAAACTGGCAAAACTTTGGTCTTTCTGTCCTTAGGAACTGCATTGCTACTGTCTCCTCACCCTAAAATATGAAATTGAGATCCAAGTTCCCTGGCTTGAGTAGAACCTAATAATTCATAATTATCATTGACCAGAACAATCACATACCTAATTAAAGCCATATGATGTCACTCTAATGCAAATTCTGACATTTGTAAATTGGTTCCAATGAGACAACCAAGGCAAATTTTGAAGCTAAAATAAAAATCTGGGCTACTTTTAAAGATTCATTTATTCAGTAAAGTCAAAGTATAGCTTTGCTAAATGTTTCTAAACCTCTTCTCTTGGGGCATACATTCACTAGGGCTTTAAATGACTGTTAGGAACCTGTTTTTCTAGTTGGTTTCAATGTTCAACTAGTGTTTTCTAGCCCTGTACTATTTTAGTTTTCCTAGAAAAGAATTGTTATTCTCTCTCCTCAGTGAGGTACATATTAAGAGGTCTGATGTCTCTACCCTCCTCTTTTTACTTAAATTACGATAGTGGAAAGGTGTCCCCTTTTCTCCACTCAGCAAGCATGTGTTCAGCATCAACTCTGCCAGAAACCTTATCAGCATCCAGGCAGATAGGCTCTCTCCCCTCACACAGCAAGTGATTCAATCCAATGTAAAGAACATAAGAAACACCTTGAGGGAGAGAAGAGTCAGTTAAAAAAAAAAAGATAGAAATATTATCAAGGTATATAGTCAACACAGAAATTTCAGAATGTTTAGTAAATGTTTACATGAGAATTGAGTGGCTATCAATATCAAGGTCTTTATGTAAAGGACCATTTAGTGGATAGAAGAGAAAATATTTTAATTTTAAGGGACACAGATTCCTTTATGTGTTGAAAAAAAATGAGTCCAGAACTTATCTTTTAAAATGCTAATAATACTATTGAAAATCAAAATATTAGTGAGATGATTTGATAAAAAAGGAAAATTAAACACCAACATCTATGGGATAGGGTTTACTGGAATAGGTAGATTCACTTCCAAATAATTGATGGATAAGAGAGAAAAAAATTATGTAGGTATGAGTATTTTAACAAGCTTACCAAAAATGTATTCAAATAAAGTAAAATGCACTTTTCCAACTAGGAAACATTTTTAAATTGGTAAAACTGGCTTACAGAAAATACTGAAAACCCCATAAAGTATTCTCAGAAAATTCACTGGGTTGTGGCGAGGAGATCCTCACATCCGAAGAATGAACTTTTTAAATTGATCTTAGTTTCTTTCCTTTCTCCCTCTCCTTATTTCTGATCCTAAGAGTCATGGCCTCATTTACGTAAAACTCCAAGCAGAATAAAGGTTTTAGGAAGGTAGACATTTGACAGTAGTTAATGAAGCCAACTCCCACTCTAGAGATATTCCAAGATTTTGATTGCCAAGCCCTGAGCATCTGCATCTTTGCTTTACTTGGGGGTTTTTGCAGGATCTGTTGACCAGGGGGCTGACAGAATGCTAAATATGCAGACAGTACAAGGCATTTTTTTTCCTTCAAGTTCTACCTAGCATGCTCAATCCCCAGTTCTCCTCCCTGCCACCATATGAAGCAGAAAATGCTGGTAATTAATGTTGGCAACTCTCTAGACACATGCTACCCTAGAAACCTCAAGGCAACTGCACATGCACTTTGCAAAGCTTAGCAACTGTCCTGAGCCACCTAAGAAGGAAATGCAGAATGAAGGACTGCCTTCAAACACCTCAGGGACTAGACAGACTCAACACCTCAACGGATGACATTTGAACAGTAGTAGTGACTCATTATGGTCCAGGAGTAGTGGCTCTGCCCTGAATGGACCACAGATGTCTACTTGGGAGAAAAGAAGGGAACTAAATGGTGAAAGACACATTGCACACTGACAATGCATTATCGTTGCTAAGTTGGCATCATACGTGGTAAGTACTAACCTTCAATGTCAAAAAACATGGAAATAAATACAACTGCTAATGTCTTATCTTTAAGCAAGTTATATAAATCATCATCTTGGTTTACGCTAAGTCATGTCATAAGATAAATTACTTTGGCCCACAAATAGAAGGAAATTTTACAAAAATGTAAATAATAAGTAGTCAAATATTTTTTAAAACTCTATTCACAAATTATCTTACCAATCTTTCAAAAAAATTGAAATCAGTTTAATCATTCAGTGAATATAATATAATTAATATGTCTTAAACTTCCCTTAAAGCAATATATGTGATTTATGCAACAAACTGACAAATGTTATATATAAGTATTAGCAGCTGTTCCAGAAGACAGCTGCTGGAAGGCAAAAGTTTTAATGATCTAAAAATTAATAAAATCATTCATTTATAATAAGTATTGCACCTGGCTTTGCTGATTTATGCGTTTGGTCAAATTGCAAAAAAATCTGTTTCATTTAGTTACTAAAATTGTTTAGATGTTAAAACCCACACAGTAATTGTTTATGGTGATCATTTGATAGTTTTAACTACAACATAATTTAAACTACATAAAGGGTAAAAATTTATGAAAATAACATTTACTACAAAACATTCACAAGTATTAAGATTAACCATAAGAGAGATTATAAATTAGATTAAAATATTTTTGATGCAAATTAAATGAAATAATTGAAGTGCACCCACTGAACACTCTCTAAGACTAATTTACTGATGTGGTTCTTCCTGTAGACAAAATGTGATTATTTATTGCCAATTATAACCCAAAAATTAAGAGACAAATGTTCTTTTCCAACAAATAGGCATCAAGAATACCTAATTAAATAAGAACACTGACCTGGAATCCATGATATGTCATGTCTGTTTCTGGCATTTCTAGCTATTTAGTGATCTAGGGGGAAAAAATAATGATGAAGGAACTTAGTTTCTTCATCAGTTTTTTCAGGAAGTGAGATGGATTAGATAAAGTCTCTTATCATATGCCACACGCTGTATTAAAGATTTTTCCCGACTAACTCATTTAATAGTCACAATATATCTATTGGGTAGGTACTATTCCTGTCCTCGGTGTACATGTGAGGAAACTAAGGCTTAGGTAATTTAAACGAATTGCCTATGAGGACAAAATTCAAAGTCACACAGTTGAAATGACCTTTAAGTTCTCTTTTACCGCTGACATTATAATCTAAAAATACCATTTAAATACAACTTGAATTAAAATATTGAATTTAAATAATTGAATTAACATAAGTTTTAAAAGTTGAATTTAAATACAACTTTAATTAAATTGCAGTTGTTTAATCCCTACTTCTACAAACACTGTTTCCACAGCAAAGCATGGTTTTTAGGACCTATGCTGTGAAACTCATGGTTTCCATAATTTTAAGACAGACACATATTGTACCAAACGCTGCAGCAAATTGGTACATGAGTTATGCCCAGTCTTAACCATGAAACAATCTTTACTCTGCTAGTTATATTATTTATTTATTCATTATTATTATTATTACTATTATTATTATTATTGAGACAAAGTCTCTCTCTGTCGCTCAGGCTGGAGTGCAGTGGCACGATCTTGTCTTACTGCAGCATCCGTCTACTGAGTTCAAGCAGTTCTCATGCCTCAGCCTCCCTGTAGCTGGGACTACCGGTGTGCACCACCACACCTGGCTACTGTTTGTATTTTTAGTAGAGATGGGGTTTTGCCATGTTGGCCAGGCTAGCCTCAAATTCCTGACCTCAAGTGATCCACCCACCTTGGGCTCCCTAAGTGCTGAGATTACAGGCGTGGGCCACCGCACCCAGCCTCAGTCTATGTAATTTTCAATGTCATTATCTAGTTAAAACCTAGCCTATAAAAAAAAGTATAAAGTGCTCAGAGATCACCAAGACAGTTACAAAACTGCATTTCACTTTGATGACCCAAGAACATGAGGAAGATAAAGCAATACTATTCATTTGAAGAGTCAAAGAAATAGATGTAGAGGCAGCATAATGATTGTAGAATGAGGCAGGGACAAGGGAGACAGAGGAAAAAATACTTTTATACACTGAAGGTTGTTTCTGCCAAAAATTCTCAAGAAATTTTAAGACCGTAAGTTACAAAACAACCCTATCAAATTGCAGAAAAATGGACAGATTAAGAACTTTCCAGGGTCTCAACAAAAAATGACGACACACCTGGCTTTCAAGTTCTTGTTCAATACTTGAAGCAATTATTTTGCAAAGCACTTTAGATGTTTTTACCAAAGAACCATTCTGTTTATTTAATTTTGTCTTTAACTCCATTTCTAGGCAGCAGGAATGTTAGAAAATGCTACCGATACAAATGATATTTTTAATGTAACAAAACAAGAAACTCTTTTCAGAAACTAGTTTTGTGAACATTTGGTATGCAATATTCTATATATTATTATTTAACTGTCTTTTTTTTTACTCATAAAAGATGAAAATATGGTATGGGAATGGTAATGATACATAATACATATTTAAGTGCTTAATAATTTACATTTTGTTAATTATTTTGACTGATTTTGGGTAAAGATTGTTACAACACATAAACAGTCCATCTGCTGCTGTTAGAATTATTAATAAATACTCCCTGAACTAAGTATTTTAATTAAAAATAAAATGCTGCATGCATTAAAGCCCATCTTAAGTGGGATGCTCCAAAAGGAATTAATAGTGTATCCAGCTGCCAATCTCTAAATAGTTTGAAAATATTACAAACTTTTATTCATGAGAAAATGCCTGGATTTGGATGATTAGGGAGCAATCTGTTGAGTCCTCTAAAGCCTTCTGCTGTGGAGCATCTGAGAGTACATGAATCAATGAAAATTATATTCCCTTTTCTATATACTGTTTCATAAAACTACCAGTGAGTCAGACCAGTGCAAAGGCTTTCTTCTTCTTAACTCTATCTTTTTGACTTTTATCTTGGGAAGGAGAGCAATTGGTATTAATCATTTGACAAATCAGTCACCTTGGAAACTATGAACTTACATTGTGATAGCGTATTGTTAAAAGCCAGTCTCTGCAGTCAGCCAAGCTTTGAATACTACCTCCTCAATTTCTAGCTGTGTGACCTTGAGAAGTTAACTCAACCATTCTGTGCCTCCATGTTCCCATCAGTAAACTGAGGATAATAGTGTTAACTCCTTCATATGGGTATTATAAGAATTAAGAGTTAAATACAATGGAACTTAGTAAGTGCTTTATACTAAACAAGTGATTAATTAATAATGGCTCTTGGAATTATTACTTTAGCATTATTGTCATTACTCAAAGTACTTTTGCAACTTTTGTTTAAAGATTGCCTTTGAAAGATGAGTCACAAGCTTTTGCATTTTCCTGAGGATATGGCATCTTCAGTGTTTGAAGTTGGAACTGATTTTTCTTTTGTAATTCAATGTCAATTGGAACAAAGGGAATGAGGAAAGTGAGGAAACTTGGTAATGCCATTTTTAATCAAAAGGGACACATGACAAGTAAGAAAAGATGTATGTACAGTTTCTAAGTTTCCAGAAACCTACTGTACATATGCATGACTTCTAATCATCATTAAAATACAAGATCAATATGTGGAGTGAGGGAGCAACTGATGAGGAAAAGCAAGAAGAAGGAGGTAAGGTGAGAAAAGAAAGAAATTATATAGGAAGTTCAAGTCTCCCTTAGAGACTCAAAAAGAGTGTCAAGAAGTCTAGAGTTCTGAATTAAACTTCTAAGAAAAAAAAAAGATTTCCTTTCTTTTTATGTCAGACCTTTGAGACTGAAGGTTTAGGTTGTACCCTTGATAGTGCTGTTAACATGCATGGACTCTGACCCCCGGACACCGTAGCAAGTCCCTGCCCGTGATGACAAGACTCCACTACACAGTGGTGCTCATTCACATGCCTGGAAGCAACCAGGTTTGGGGAAGCTATTAAACTTGAGATATTCAAGCACTAACTTGAGGCGGCACAGTTTCTGCTGCCCGAGTTCCCTGCGGCATGTGGGCCTGTGGGGAAAACTGGAGAGGCCCTCTCTGAATGAAAGATTAACCTGCTCTGTCAGGTCCTTAAAACTACACAAGGCACCTTCGCTTATACCAACGGATTAGATCATCAGAACCACTCTTTCAAAATGCTATTGTTATCTCAGTCTTATAGATTAGAAAACTGAGCCTCAAGGAGCGTAAGTGGCTTTCTTCAGGTCACAGAGCCAAAAAGTACATGAGTCAAGTGTCAACGCAGAATTCAAAGCTAATTGCTTTTTATTGTCTGCCCCAGTGGTTTTCAAACTATGACATGTGAAACCCCTGGCTCCTTTTGGCGCCTTAAGGAGTAGCACAGAGGAAAGGTGGTCCCTGAGCAGACCACTCTCTGCCCCTCCCACCCTCAGCCCTTCTACTCCACAGAGAGCTCTGGTGATGGGGTTTAGACATCAGAGTCCAAGTAAAAATCTTTTAGCAAAATTATTTTAACTAAGTTTTTTTTTCAAAATTAATCTGGAAACCCCTTCATTACAAAGTCCCCGAGAATACCATTTCCCATATAACCCTTTCAACCGGAAGATGCTCATTACTACAGATTGAGCTCATTCCAGGATTGATAGATGAGATCAACTCTCTTGCTTCTCAACAGCACTTCCAGGCTTATTAGTCTGTATATGCCTAGTTCATTTCCTATTTTCATTCCATGAAATAATTTAATAACTTCGCAATCTATCTTATTTAATGTAAAATACTGAAATAATTTGCAATCTGTCTTCCCGACAATAAGTGATGTTAACTGATCTAATTAATTATATTGCAGAATAATCACCAACAGAGTTTGATCTAGATCAATGCTGCTCAAGGTATGATCAACAAACTGTTACTAGGTCTGAGATAAGAAGCCTGTGCCACAGCACAAATGTACACATTGTTTCCTTCACATAGAGAAAGTCTTGTTACAAAACAAAAGTTAGCTGAGCTAAGCAGAGTGCTGAGTTGGTTTACATTCTAGGACAGCTCCTTGTGTTGTTCCTACACAGAAACAGTTTGTCTAGGATGCTTTGATTGCACTCTTCTGAATTTCAAAAGTGCTTTGGCCTTAGAAATTTGCTTCCCACCCATACGGTTATGATCGGCTTTCTCAGCTGTCGGCCTCTCTTACTATTCCTTCTGCTTTTTTTGCCTGCTCAATGCCTTAGTCTCTGAATGCCAGCCTTTTCTGTGACCTTGTCCTTGGACTGAAATCATATCCCTGAGTCTTATTCTCTTTGCTCATGCTGAATGAATTTTCTGAATCCCTGACTTCAAGAACCTTTTATATACATTTTACTTTTGTCTCTGACCCTGACTTTTCTTCTGAGCTTTAGAGCCTATTTTTAATCGCCCACTAGCCATCTTTATCAGATTTTAGTACAGCTACCTAGAATTTAATATTTCTAATGAAAAATTAAAATACTTCCCCATACTTCCTTCTCAATTACATTAGTCAAAACTTTTCTATTGTTAAAATCACACACAAAAATGACAAAGTTCAGAGGAGAGGAGAAAAGGAGAGAAGAGAGAATAAATATTTTGGCTGTGTATCAGAAAATTCCAAGGAACTCATTAGCTTTAGTAACGATTTCATTAAGAGGTTCCCAACAAATATCATAATCCAGTTTTTCACCTCAGGGTTCAGCTGTCTTCTGTTCTGGCTCCATTCTGTAGTATGCACAGCAGCTTCAGAATTACATCATTTCCCCTCAGCAGGTCCAAACCCAAAGAGAGATCCTCTCCTCCCAATGTATCAATATATACCAAGAATATCCCATACTGTGATTTGCCACCTGTGGTAGTGGCAATGGAGTCAACTACATTTAAAACATGGACTGTGGAAAGGAGGCAGGATCCATTTCCAATGGATACATGGAATTGTTTTCATATAAAAGATAATGGATGTTGGGGAGGCATAAAAAAAGAGATAGCCATAATATTCAGCCTAAGTATACATTAACTCCTCTATTATCTTTGGTTAATCAACTTGCAAGGCATCCACTCAGACTTCTAATCTGGGAAGTAGGTAAACCTCAACCACAACTTCTCTCTAACTACCCATATCTAATCCTATATCCATATTCAAGAACAAATCTTGTTTCTATCTCTGAAGTGTCTATAAAATCTGGCCTCTACTTTCTATCCAAATTGCTATCATCTTTTTCTTCTCTTATTTAGATTATTGCTACTAGTTATTTCAACTGATTTTCCTGCCATCAGCTTCTTTTCTTACCTTCCATCTATTTTTCCAATTAAATCCTAGTTTTTTTTCTTACAGAATAAAATAATTTCTGAGATTAGTTCATGCATTTTTTCATCAAGGATTCTGTTCACTAGACTTAAAATATCTATAGAAGAGACAACCAGTCCCAAGGATATCTACCAGAACTCATCTTTTCCAAGGGATTTCTGGGTCCATGTATTTTTAAATTCTTGAAGTCTGTTAATTCCATAGTGCCTCACAAATACCTTCATGCTCATCTATCTGCTCTTTTCTTAAACTTTCCTCTGCTGTACTGCATGTCCTTCCCTGATGCCAATCTAGCTCCTACTGCTGTCTTTTCCTCTAAAACTTTTTTTTTTTTTAACTGCACCTCTAGGAATCCCAGTCACCTTCAATATCTTCCCATTGCATTCCTGCCTAACAGAAACTTGGCTTTCCCTGAGGACACCATTTGCCCTGTAGCCCTCTTAATTGGAAGATGCTCATTACCACAGAATACACACATTCCAGAGTTTTTAGATGAGAAGATCACCATTCTTGCTTCTTGGATGCACTGCCGGGCCATTTCTTAGTCACTGAGACACTGAAATTAATTACGTCGGGTAATAACACAGTCTTCATATCCTCAGCTACTTAATAACAATTCCTGTTCTCCTTTTCATTCACTGAAGACCTTAGTACCAGAATCACTGTTTCCTCCCACTCCATGTTCCGCCACTATCCTGATTTACTTTAACATGAATCAGTAAGACCCAACTAATACCTTAATTCTTCAATTAATTTTCATTGTTAGTGACTTTGACCTCATTTCCTCTGAAATCTTTCACTCTTATATCAGTATCTTAGATAAGTCATCCACACACAATTTGCATTTAAAGAACTATGTTCTCCATCCACATCCTCCTATCTTTTCTGCTGTCTTACTCTTTATCTCCCATGGCATTTTTCTTTTTTTTCTCATAGGGATTTCCAATTCCTTGGCCCCTCTATTTTATTCCTATGAGCAGTTTCTTCTGTTCACTTCCTGGACTAACTAGCTTAAAAGTCCATTACATTACACTTTCCTCAATCTCTTTAATTTTTCCCTCTGTTGTTCCATAATTTTATTGTTCTAGAAGACAGTAAACTGGATGAATCCATCTCAGTTTTCAAGGCCTCCATCTAGTCTTCGGAGAGCTGCCATTGAGATTTCCTTCAGATTTTACTTCAGCTCACATGTCTTCATCCCCATCAAACCCAGGAATATTAGATGTTTATTTTACAGAAATAGCATATCACCTTATAATGTGCTTGATTTCTTTATATGCCTATCTCCCTCTATACACATGCTGAAAACAAAAGGTATGTCTTAAAAACACCATTTTTATTACTGGTGTTTAGCATACTCTAGTTATTGAGTGAACATTATTAAATAGATGCCATATTGTTACATTATCTTTCAAGCAGTGGAGTATATGTTTCATGTATGAATGAAAAGTGCTGGACATTTTTATTATTCAATATGTTAAATTTGAATTTATACTAACTATTCTAGAATGTATTATTTTTACAAAGAATAACATAATTTTTTTTCTCCTTTTTAAAGAATCTAAGTTACTCAAGTTATTTTAATGGAAATGGTGTTTCGGTTATTTCAGACAAATTAGATTTGGTACAAGAATAGTTCAACAGAATAGAGGATACAGAGATAGATCTAAAAATAACAGCCACCAATTTCATGACAAAGTTGGCACTGTGTCACGGTGGAGAATGGATTTTCTCTTTAGTAAGTAATGCATGCCCAACTGGGCCTACATCACACAAAGCACAAAAAGGCAAATGACTTGAACACGTGAACACATTTCACAAAAGCAATTAAACCAAAAGACCAATAAACATATGTAATGGCACTTAACCTTATTAGTCTTTAGGGCTACCCTCTGATAGAATGACTAAGATTAAAGAGATAAAAATGCAAAAATTACAAAAATGTAGAGCCACTAGAATTCTAACAAATCATTGGTGACGGTCTTCATGGGTACAGCCACTTAAAAAACTGTTACTATCTATTAAACATGTATATATGTATAAATATACACATATGTTTACATATATAAACATGTGTGTGTTTGTGTATATGTGTATATGTGTAAATATGTATATAATATATATAATATATGTATATATTATATTGCATATGTGTACATATATTATATATATATTATATGCACAATATGTGTATATATAATATATAATATACACATATTGTGTGTATATATTATATATACACACATCTATATATGTTATATTATATATACACACATCTATATATGACCCAGCAGTTCTTCTGCTAGAATTATGCTGTGATATTCACTAAAATATATGTATGAGAATGTTTATAATTGCACTATTTACAAAAGCTCCAAGTTGGAAACAACCCAGATGCCTAGCAATGATAGAATAGATAAATAACTTGAAGCATAAACACATAATAGAATATTATGGAGCAATGAGAATAGATTATAGTACAACACACAACAATGTGGATAAATCTTACAAATATGAATTTGAGCAAAAGAAGCCACACACAAAAGATCCCATACTATTTGATTTCATTTATATAAAATATACAAATAAGGAAATCTAGTGTATGGAGTCAGAAGTTAGGAGAGTGGTTATCTTTGATGGGAAAGGACTGGGTTAGTCACAGGAAGGAATCAGATGAATAACTTCTGGGTGCTGGATACAAAGATGTGTTTAAAAATTCACTCCCATGTGTGCTTACAGCATATGCAATTTATGTATATTATACTTCAATCAAAAAATGTTAATTACCTCAAAATAATAAAAGCCACTTATGACAAACCCATAGCCAACATCATCCTAAACAGGCAAAGGTTGGAAGCATTCCCCTAAAGAACCAGTAAAAGACAAGGATGCCCACTCTCACCACCCCTATTCCACATAGTGCTGGAAGTCCCAGCCAGGGCAATCAAGCAAGTGAAAGAAATAAAAGGCATCCAAATAGGAAAACATGAAGTCAAACGATCACTCTTCACTAATAACATGCCTCTATACCTAGAATCATATAGAATCACATAGATTCCACACCTAGAATCCAGAAGCCAAAGGCTCCTGGAGCTGATAAACAAATTCGGTAAAGTTTCAGGATACAAAATCAATGTACAAAAAAAAGTAGCATTTATATACGTCAATAATGTCCAAGCTGATAGCCAAATCAAGAACATAATCCCATTTACAACAGCCAAAAAATGAAATACCTAGGAATACATTCAACCAAGGCCATAAAAGATTTCTACAAGAAGAACTGAAAAACACTGCTAAAAAAAATCACAGATGACACAAACAAATGAAAAAACATCCTATGCTCATAAATTGGAAAAATCAATGTTGTTATAATGTCCATAGTGCCCAAAGCAATCTACAGATTTAATACTATTTCTATCAAACTACCAATGTCATTTTGCACAGAATTAGAAAAATCTATTCTGAAATTCATATGGAATGAAAAAAGAGCCAAATACCCAAAGCAATACTAAGTAAAAAGAACA
The DNA here is from genome assembly GCF_000001405.40 of Homo sapiens. NCBI lineage: Eukaryota > Metazoa > Chordata > Mammalia > Primates > Hominidae > Homo > Homo sapiens. The sequence goes on along the minus strand of NC_000003.12, from coordinate 82,061,923 downwards.
AAGCCAGGGAAGCATCACACTATCCGACTTCAAACTGTCTTATAAAGATACCATAACCAAAACAGCATAGTACTAGTACGAAAGCAGAGACATAAATCAATGGAACAGAATAGAGAGACCAGAAATAAAGCCTCACACCTACTGCCTTCTGAACATGTGAACATGACAATGTCAACAAAAATAAGCAATGGAGAAAGGACTCCCCATTCAATAAATGGTGCTGGGATAGCTGGCTAGCGATATGCAGTATGCAGAAGAAAAAAACTGGACCCCTACCTTTTACCATATACAAAAGTTAACGTGAGATGAATTAAAGATTTCAATGTAAGACCTCCAATTATAAGAATTCTAGAAGAAAACCTAGGAAACACCATTCTGAACACTGGCCTTGGGAAAGAATTTAAGACCAAGTCCTCAAAAGCAATTGTAACAAAAACAAAAATTGACAGTTGGGACCTAATTAAATGAATGAGCTTATGCACAGCAAAACAAATTATCAACAGATTAAGACAGCCTACAGAATAGGAGAAAATAGTTACAAACGATGCATCTGACAAAGGTCTAATATCTAGAATTCATAAGGAACGTAAACAATTCAACAAGTGAAAAACAAGTAGCCCCATTAAAAAGTGGGCAAAAGACATGAAAAGACACTTCTCAGAGAATGTAAATTAGTTCAGCCACTGTAGAAAGCAGTTGGAGATTGCTCAAGAACTCCAAAGAACTTAAAACAGAACTACCATTTGACCCAGCAATCCCATTACTGGGTATTGATCCAAAAGAAAACAAATTGTTCTGCCAAAAAGAAACAGGGACCCACATATTCATCACAGCAGCAGTATTCACAGTAGCAAAGACAGCAACCTAGGTGACCATCAATGGTGGACTGGATAAAGAAAATGTGGTAAATATATGCTGTGGAATACTACACAGCCATAAAAAGGAATGAAACCATGTCCTTCACAGTAACATTGGAAGCAACTGGAGGCCATTATCCAAACAAATTAATGCAGGAACAGAAAACCAAATACCACATGTTCTCACTTAAAAGTGGAAGCTAAACATTGGGTACGCACAAAGATGGCAATAACAGACACTGGGAACTACTGGATAAGGGAGGGACAGAAGGGATCAAGGGTTGAAAAACTCTTGGATACTATGCTCACTACCTGGGTGACAGGATCAATAATACCTCAAACTTCACCATCACTCAATATACCCATGTAACAATCCTATATACCTACTCCCTGAATCTAATTTTAAAGTTGAAATTATTTTAAAAAGTAATATATTTGATATCTATGATATATAAGGCATCTGTGAAATGAGATGCTGGAAGAAATACATATATAAATGAATAAATTGAGAGCAAATAAGGGCCAAATTTCAGAAAGACTAAACTCTTGTAAACTGAATATGAAGGCCTACAATGCTTATCAAGTCAGAAAAAATGTAATCTATTCAAAATGGAATCATAGATTTACTTGGGTTCAGCTTTATGGCCTCCTTCAATCCAGGTTGACATTATTTGTGCAACACTGACTTAAAAAGTGTTTTTAGTACATTCCAAGAGCCTTGCACAATAGAATAAACATAGTTTTGTAATTCACCATCCTCTTTTGTCTTTATCGCAACAAAATAAACTGTTCTGTTGTGTCCTGGATGATCATTTGGCATTTCTTTTCACTTATAACTATCTTTACACACAAAGTTTTCCAGAAATTCTTGGTGCCTATCAACAAAATTTGGATGTCAGAAACAGTGTCTTATTTGTAAAAGGATGTTTGCTTCCTAATTTAAAAGTTATATTGCTTTTGGCACAAACTGAAAAGAAAAGCCATCAAATAAGATTTAGGTAGTGTTAAATGACTAAAGATTATAAAAAGCTTTTATAACCTGTAATCCCAAGTTACACGCTAGCTGAGATGCATTCAGAGAATGTGGCAGTTTATGGCAAAGTGTAAGGAAAAGGTACTATAGTAAAGCAATTTATTTTTTGTTGTTGTTGTTTTGCACTCATCTGTGATAAATACAGCAAGACAATAGACTACAAGTGGTTATTTAATAGGCAGAAAAATCAAAGCTAAACTATCCATTTCTGAAGAATGCCTTTAGGTAAAAGAGAAAGCCTATTATCATTGAGAAACATTAAGCTAATTAATAATTAATTTGGGAATGTGCTTTCGTCATTACAAAATTGAACAGCAATAAATATTAGTGTCTTAAAAACTATTTGTGTAAGACATTTCATAGAAGAGTAAAAATAAAATGTGATAACATGTATTTAATTCAAGCAGATAGACTGCAGATCTACAAAGTCATGGCACATAGGTTCTTTTCCAAATTTATAATCCGGGATGATAACAGTTACATAAGCATTTTTACAGTACAGGCACTCTGCTAACTAACTAACATGGGTTATCTCCCTGAATAATTATAATAAAACCTCAAGGTCATGTAGTAATTTCCAACTATGGCTGCCATCAGTTATTTCTTTCCCTAGACAAGCATGCTGTCTATTAAGAGATAGCATCTAATTTCCCTCTCTCGAACCTGAGCTGGCTTTGTGATTTCCTTTTGACAATTAGAATCGTGACCTACTAGGTTGTGAAAAGCCTTAGAACTTCTATTTGGGCCTTTTAGAATGCTTGGTCTTTGAATGCTTCTTAGAACCCAACCATTTTACTGTGAGAAGTCCAAGCCCCGAGCCAGATTCATGAGCATGCAACGTGTGCTGTTACTATCTCGAACGTCCTAATAATTTTAACAAGAAACTCCATACTTTCCTTTTGCACTAGGTAGGTTCCGTAAATTATGTAGCTGATTCTGCCCAAGCCACGGGCTGAATGCCCACAGGACAATCAGCATTACCTGCCAACTATGTCAGTGAGCCACGTTGGACATTCAGCCAATCTGAGCATTTAAATGACAGCAACCACAGACAACATCCGATTACAACTTCAGAAGAGAGCTGCCCAGCCAAGCCCAGTCAATGCCTACGAGCATGAGAAACAATAAAATATTATTCAAAGACATTAAGTTTGGCTTGTTACCTGCAACAGATAAGTAAGACATGCACATACTATTATTAAATCATTCATTCCTTACAATAAGCCTATGATGTACTAAATATTATAATCAGGTTTTTTTTTTTTTTTTAAGACAGAGCCTCACTGTTGTAGCCCAGGCTGGTGGAGTACAGTGTTGCCATTTTGGCTCACTGCAACCTCCACTTCCCAGGTTCAAGCAATTCTCCTGCCTCAGCCTCCTGATTAGCTGAGATTACACATGCCCACCACCATGCCTGGCTAATTTGTGTACCTTTAGTAGAGACGGGGTTTATCCATGTTGGCCAGGCTGGTCTCAAACTCCTGACCTCAGGTGATCCACCTGCCTCGGCCTCCCAAAGTGCTGGGATTACAGGAGTGAGCCACCGCGCCCGGCCTATACTCACTTTTGAGACAATTTTTCTAAGCGCACAGTTAAGAGGTGCTGTCTGGTGTTGTCTAAACACATAGCCCAAGGTATAGATTCCTATTCTTAATAATAAGTGTCTGACATACAGCAATATTACATGATACTTTCATTTGCAGTGTATTTTTCTATTTTTGCTCCATTAGAATTATTCTCCAGATTCCAATCTAACAATTTCATTTATATATAATTCCAAATTATCACTGATGAGATTTCTAAGAGTAAAATCTCAGGTTGCACCTTCCAGTATCTCCTGATTTCCTCAAAGTTTCTAAACCTTAATAATTGTAGGTATCTCCATTTTAACGCTAGCCAATTATGCTAATGGTAGTGCATTACTCACTCCCAGTGATGTCTGTTCAACTTTTATGATTATGTCCTCTTCTATCCCCTGCAAGGTCATCATTAATTCCTAATTGCTCAAAATTATTTTCCCATACATACACACCCACAAAGCCCTTGTGATGGGAATTCATTTCTCAAAAGGGAATTTAACACTAAGTCTCAGATGCTCAAAAATTGATGAACCAGGTAGTTGACCTGAATCAGCTAATTAAGCTATAGGAAGTCACCAGGGAAAGAAAAAGCATGTCATTAAGTTCACTGTGCTGAAAAGTAACGATTTCAGGGTTCCTAGGAAAGCAAAGAGATACACTAAACAGAATTTTTTGAAATTTTGTTCCACTTTGACTATAATTTAACTTTTTTGTTTCTGGTATTAGCCTAAAGCACTTGAGTGAGACACCTAATAAACCACTTCTTTATTGAAATTGTTAATTAACTATAAGCCTGGAAGTGAACTCTGAATTATTCTTTTGTTTGGGTTTGAATTGTTTCAAATTAAGTTGGATGAGTGTTAAGGAGAAAAAAACTTTTTAGAAATAATTTCTCTTCTAATGAAGGCTCTTTTCAGATAATATAATTCATGCTTGAAATACATCTATATTCAAACACATAGCACAACCCAAAAGGCATATATACATGTATCTATATGCATATATCTTTCAAAGAAAAACCAGAAATCCATAATAGTAATTTATGCATTAATTTTTAATTAAGAGGTAAATATTGGCTACCTATTTGTAAAGCCAAAATATAATTATTATAAAATGCATTATTGACTGACCACTATATTCCAGGCTTCTTAGTATCCTTTTTCTAATTATTACTTCACAGAAAGTAAAATATTAACCCCCAAAATACTTCTAATCTACTGTGTTTCCCTCTCAAATAAACATACATTTTAAAATAAAAGAACATAATAGCATCTGATTTCTCTTGTGATCTCATTAAATGCTGAAACTTTTTTTTTTTATTTTACTTTAAATTCCGGGATATATGTGCAGAACGTGTAGGTTTGTTACATAGGTATATGTGTGCCATGGTGGTCTGCTGTACCTATCAACCACATGCTAAAACGTTTAAAATTACTTTTTAAATTTTCAATAAAAACATTGAATTATTTTATCTGTCACAGATTTTAAAAACAGAGCATAATAAATGTTTTAAACTTTTTTGATGATAAAAAAGTTGTCAGTATTTTGTCCTTTTAATATTCTGTAATATGAAAATATACTTAAAGGCTTAAAGATACATAGATGATATTTGATAAATGCTTCCAGAATGAATGAATAAATGAATGAAAAAAGCACAATCATAACGCCATAATTTCTCTAAAAAACAGAGTAATTTTACAATTGTTATTTTCTTTCTTCTCTCAGTATTACTGAGAAACCAGCTGGCCCTTCATCAGAACCATGGAATTGAGAGGAAACTTTTCAATGACTAATATAAAACTAAAGAAAATATAGATTTTTATGTGTTACATGAGAAGATAAAAATGCAAATAAGAGAGCCTATTTAATTTTAATTCTACATTAAAATGTATTGATACATTGACTGTGAATTTCATAGAGGAAGCTGTGCTATTTGCTATTGCATCTCCAGTACCTAAACACAAGCGGCCAGCACATACTGTGCTCAGTTAATATTTACTGTAAACAAATGAATGAATTTTATTGCTTTATAAGTTTTTTATATGATAATCTAAAACACTATTCCAACTATCAAAGTTTGAAAAGGATTTTTCAGAATGACACTGTGTCTCTGTTTTATTCCCCATTGATTACTGATAATTGTTAGCCACTATGTATAGTAATCTCAAATATTTTCCTTAGAGGAAACCATTGTAGATGATTTATGTTGCTTTTGGAAAAAGCAACAAACTGAATGTTTCTCTTTTTGTCTGGTTGATGTATCACTTTATCTAATTGTATTAAATTATCTATTACTGCATAACGAATCACCCCAAACTTAGTGACTTAAACTTACAATAATTATTTATTGTCTCTAATACTTTTTTTGGAGATCAAATATTCAGAAACATAGCAGGGGCTCTGAGGTTGCAGTCTGATATTAGCCAGGGCTGAGTCATCTGGAAGGCTTGTCTGGAACTGGCAGATCCACTTCAAAGGTATTTTCATCTGAAGACTGCCAAGGTGGTTCCTCTCTATGTGGGATACTTTGGTGTTTTAATGGCATGGCAGCTGGCTCTCCCCAGGCTGAACAATGCACGAAAACGAGGGAAAAGCTACAAGGCCTCTTGTAACCTAGTCTTGAAAGTTATATGTCATCATTTCTGCATTATTCTATTGGGAACTCAAGTCAGCCCTGGCATGAATAGATGGGTATGAATTCTCAGGGAAAACTATCTTTAGGGAACATCTTAGAGACTGGCCATCATACTAATTTTATATGTAAAAATATAATACAAAATCATGTAAGTGCTTACATTATTTGAACTATGAAAAAAAGCATTTGCCATTAATTCTAGGGAAAGCTTTTTCATCTGTATTGCTACATACCTTGATCCTTTGGGCTTTAACTTAAACTGTCTTAAAAGGTTCCTCATGAACTTTTCGTTTCACGGCATTAGAACAACAATTTAATCATAGTTAATATGTTAGCTGCAATTTCTTTATTTTTATTTCTTTGCTTATTGATTTTAGTCCAATAAATTTGCATTTGATATATACAAAATAATAAAACCATAGAATTTTTCATTGGAATCATTTGAGTATAAATAAGGTCATTTCCCTTTAAAGTGTTTTGCCTAAATTGTTTCCACTTAACCTTCTGGATAAAGCAGGGGCAGCCTAAGCTCAGGGACTAATATCATAGGGGGAAAAAGCAAATCCAAATAAGGGGAAAAAAAGGAATACAGAAATGAGATTCAGAGGAAAAACCTAAATTATGGGATTCTGGGGTTGATGAAGTAGCCACAGAAAGAAAGCTGAATTATGGGAATCTGGGGTTGATGAAACAGCCACAGAATGAAAGCTGGAATGTATGGGAGGAACTAGACTGGAATGGGTTTAGCACCTCAATTAATGCTGGACAGCTTCTCTGAAAAGTCTGTGACAAATCCTCAGTCCCGCTCAGCAGGAACAAATGCAGGGCCTTGAGCCCAGTCTCAGAATTATGGCCATAGTTGTGGACTTGCCATTTCAATAATATGTGGAAATGAAGATGCTGGTATTACCTAATTGTACTTTCTCAGGAACATCTTCAGGTAAAGTGTATTATTCCATGTTATTTGCTATGTTAATTTTCTCTACTTTATTCCAAAGACATCGACCAGCATTTTCTAAAACAAATAAGGGCTGCCTTGGGGAATTGTTGTCAAAAGCCACTAGGCCTTCGGAAATTCAATTGAATAAAAAATGTGACATTGTTGTCTATCAATTTTAGAATTTTTTTTTCCTTGGGAATTCTTTATGTTGGTGTGAGAAAGGCTTGGACTTTAAAAAAAATATATGTGAATAATGATTCCACACTCACTAGTTATACCCATGGGCTGGTTACTTATGTGTTCTTTGCCTTCATTGCCTCACATATCAAACGGGAATAATAATTTACAGAGTTCTTTTTTATAAAAATTCAATTGGATAACATATACAAAGTGCCTCACCTAGCAGGTACCCATGAAATTTTTATTCCCTTCTCTCTTTTTCATTTGTTCCTGATATGTAACATTATTTCTGATAATAAATCAATTTGCTGGCAGCCAATATTTAATTTTTGAGTAATAAATTTTCCTAAAGTCTACGTTCTGAGGATTGCATATTTTGGTTATAATCTTATTTTTTTATTTGAAAGAGCAAGGTTAGTAATACTTCCTCATCCATCTTATCTCTAATTCTTTTCATGAAATATTTTAATTTTTTTCATCCATCATCATTCTTCAGATAATCCTCAATATATGATTTAATGACGTCAAAAAATTTTGGTCCTGTTAATTATCTACTACTGACCATCTCTCAGAGTTGTTTATTTTATATAAAGTAAAACTGGATTATTAGCTGATAAAATTGTCATTAATATTTTTATTTTCAATTTTTCCACCCCTTTCCCATATGTAAAAAAAAAATCAATGAGTTTAATGCAGTACAAGCAAAATGAAAATCTTGTTTATTTAGTTCTTTAATCTCTTAAAACTTACTACTCCAATTTCTTAAATTATTTTCCAATGAGTCTATTATTCATTATTTGCATGTCCTAATAAATATCTAAAACTCAATTACTTCCCTCCTTGTTCTACACACCTTCCAAATTCAAAAGTGAGACTTTTTTTCTGATCTATTATTAGGCATAAAAGTGTTAAATATTATTATAAATTTATTTTTCTAATTTCCAGTTACTGTTTCCCTACTCTGGTTTTCAGCAATGGAGTTTTAATGTGAAAAATGGGGATTAATGTACAAGTAACACTACATTATTTGTGTGTGGGGTGGGGGGGGGAATGTGATGAATGTATGGCCTGCTACTCTTCCCTAATGTGTTATATTAGATATAAAAGTGTTCCTCATGGAAAAGCAGCTCACAATGTTAATTCTCTGAAGTGCAAGGTGTTACTAAGAATTCTCATACCCATTTCAGATCTAGTATTTTTCTCTATCATATTTTTTATGTTTCATTTCTACCAAATGACATTGCAAAATCCTGTTGCGGTACTCTGGTTTCACTATTTGAATAATGAATCACAAATCAAATTTGTTTTATTTCTCAATAAGAAAAAATAAGTTCACTAGTTTTCTTTACTACTTCCTTATTTAAAACATATTGCCCTGTTGACTGATTCTAGGTCCTTGACCAAATATTGAAAATAAAGCCCATGTTACTAATTTTGGTTAGTGGCAATACTGTTTACTTGCTAAAACTCAGCCTCACTGGTAACATTTTAGAAATTTTAATATTTTACAATCATTGCACACGTGATGTTATGGATTGAATTGTATTACCCTGAAAAAGATATGTTGAAGTCCCAATCTCCAGTAACACAGAATGTGATCCCTTTTGAAAACAGGGTCTTTGTAGATGTAATCAAGTGAAGATTAGGTTATTAGAATGGATCCTAATCCAATATAACAGGTGTTTTTATTTTTTTTAAAAAAAAGGAAAAAAAGAAAAGAAAAATTTGGACACAGACATGTATAGAGGGAGTCTATGCAAAGAGACATAGGAAGAATGACATGTGACTATTGGACACAAACCCAGGACGATCTGAGGATACCAGAAGCTGGAAGAGCCGAATAAGGACTTTCTCTTACAGGCTGCAGTAGAAGCATGGCTCTGCCAACACCTTGCTTTGGACTTCTAGCCTCCAGAAATGTGAGGCTACAACAGAATGTGAGAATACATTCCTGTTGTTCTAAATCACCCAGGTTTTGGTAGTTTGTAATGGCAGCCTTAGGAATAATGAAAAACTAACAGTTATTTTAATTTACTAGCATTATATGGACTCTGACTACGTAAATACAGCTTTGGAGGATTTATTTTTAAATGAATCATTGCTTTACTACCATGGATCTCTATGATCAAGATCTATTTTGGTAACATAATAAAGTAACATTAGTTGAAGACTTCTTTGTGTCCAATAACAGTAATTTATTATTGTCCAATATTATAAGTGCTTTACTTGTCTTCATTAATTTCATCCACACGACTATGCTTTGTCATAGTCACAACCACAATTATAATCTCTATTTTGAGGCACAGAGAACTAAGGTTACTTTCCCAAATTATACTCCTAGTAATTGGGTTATCAATACAAACCCACAACATCTACCCAGAGTCCGTGTTCTCAATCACTGCATGAGATGGTCTTCAACTGGCCCATCCCAACTGACCTCACCTTTCACCAATTAAACATTTCAGTGTGTCAACCCTCTAAAACACTGCTATGGTAATTTTATTCAAGCTGCATTCAAAACACAACTTGCTTAACTATTGTCTACAGAATAACTGCCGGACTCTTTGGCATGGTACATAGCATTTGCAGGGCCCCATGACCTGGCACAAGCCTACCTATGAAAGCGCATCTCTACTTACCTATGTGTACAGATATTAAAATGAAGGAAATTGTATAAGTGATGTTAGAGAACAATGAGGGAATACAGACATGTCAGGACTTAGTTTCAATGCAGGAAACACAGCTGACAATGAGTCCTTCGTATAAGGCATTAGGTCAGGATAAGACAGACAAGCATATAAATCTTGACCCAGGCCTTACCTACTAGTCTGGTCGTATCTTTTTCTTCTCCCACTTTTTCACAGCACACACAGCACACACTTCTGCAATTTTAGAATGGCCATATTCTTTCTCACCTCCTGAGGTTTATATTTGCTATGTTCTCCTCCTGTGCCCCTTTCCCTTCAATTTTTCCCTTCCCACCTTCACCCTCCTACTGGCACGATTTTCATGGATAGTTCTGCTAGAACTCTATGATTCAGCTTATCTGTCTCTTGCCCTGAGAAGCCTTTTCTGATTTGTCTCCTATTCACCTGGCCAGTCTACAATATGTGCTCCACCTGTGCACTTGTCTTAAACCTTCACATTCATCACACGGTTTGTATCGTCAGTTGACTTGTCTGGATCTCCATTCTAAACTCTTAAAAAAGGAACTGCATCGCATTAGTCTTTGATTACCCAGAATTCGTACAATGAGTGGAATGAAGCAGCAGATCAATGTGTATCTGATGAGAGAATGAGTGTACAAATGGTTGAATGGATGAATGAATACATTTATGAATGCTCAACTGTGTGTACATGTTGGAGAGAAAAATGGCAGAACTGTGAAAAGACCCTCAATCACTGCTGTGGTGCAGAAAGTCTGTAACCAACAAATAATGGTACAAACTGAAGCGTGCCCAGGAACCTAACAGCAGAGACAAGATCACATGGCTGGGAGTAAAAGACTGGACACATTGCATGGACCAAAGCAGACTTTTATCCAAACAAACCAGCTGGGAGGAAAGATGAGAAAGTCAGTTGAAAAGAATGATCAACTAGAGTTAAAAACTTACACAGACAGCAAAAAAGAAGGGAAGTACAGATAGTAAATGTCAGGTGATACAAAGGTTGATTTTATAGGCAACTAAATTAGAAATAGAAAATTACCATATCAAGAGATTACACAAATCTTTGCTCAGGAAAGTCTCCAAGAGATAGGGATCCTATTAAGAGCCTGGGAATGAACAGATATAAAAGCAGATGCAGCTGCAATTTTATAAAACATTGACGACTGCAGTAGATATTTGATTCACATTCTAAAATGTTATGGAATTCCTATTAAAGCAGATGTCAACTTCTATGTGACTAGCAAGAGCCATAAGTTCCATGAGGGCAGGGCTTTAACTGTCAGAGTCACCTCTGTATATGCTGCCTAGCACCTTATAGACAGAGAAAAGGACCTGAAGTAATGGAATGATGGCTCTTTCAATTATATCCCATACCAGCTTCGCTTCACTATTTCCCTTTTCAGTGTACCATTCATCTACTTGCCCAGGCAAGAAACTTGATGATGAAATAATGCATCAACATTAACTTTCTCTCCCTCACCCCTCTCCCAACATATTTATCAATAAGCAACTCTTGCACAACCTACCTCCAGAATTCAAATTTTGAATTGGAAAATGCCTTTCCCCATGAACACAATGCTTGTTCAGGCCACTGTTCTTATTTGTTGTACTTCTGCTAAATCTTTCTAACTCTCCCCTCTGCTTCTAATTATTCTCTTAGAATTAAGTGTCCAAAATAGAACCATAATAATAAGTGTTGTGGGTTGAATTACATTCCTTAAAAAGATATGTTTAAGTCCTGACTCCCAACACCTGTGCATGTGAGCTTACTTGAAAATAATCAGTATGAGGCTGTACTAGATTAGAGTGGGCCCTAACTCAGTGACTGATGTCTTTCTAGGAAGCGGGAAATGCAGATAGAGGACCAATAGTGAGAAGGTCATGTGATGATGGAGGCAGAAATTGGATGCGTGTATAAGCCAAGGGGCAACTAAAGGTTGCCAGTAATCAACAGAGGCTAGGGAGAGGTAAGCAAAGATCTTCACCTAGAGACTTCAGATCATGGCCCTGCCTACCAACACCTTGATTTCAGACTTCCAGCTTCCAGAAATGTAAGAATACCTTTCTGTTGTCTTAAACTCCCTGGTTTGTAATTATCTGTTAGGGAAGCCCTAGGAAACATACAATATGCAAAAATAAAAATTCAATCAAGGCTCTCTGTTGATTAACATCTTTCTGTAATGATTTCGGCATAGAGTAGAAAGTTTTTTATAAGGCCTAAAGAATCCCACATGATCTGAATCCTACCTAACAGTGAATTAATCTCTTGACAATTTCCCTTGTTTTCAGCTTGCTACATTTTAGAGATGCAGGACGGTTTACTTTCCCCAAATTTGCCTCTTCTTCTAGACCCTCATGCATGCTGCCTTTTCTGCCTATCATCCTTTCTCTCCCTCACCTCCACCATTATCCTGACTACCTTTTATATTTCCTTATCTCATAGCCCCATTCTGTCAGGGAGAACTCTACAGATGTCAAAATTAGTTTGGCTCCTTTGCTGTGTAATAGTATAGTACAATCTTTATTCTAAATATTGGATTACTTTTTTTTTCTTCTCTAATCTGTAGAGTCCATGAGAGGAGAGAAAACATCTTTCCTGTGTTTTCCACCGTATTTCCTGTATCCAGCATGCTTTGCACATTACTGTGGTTACTCTACTACCATTACCCAATCATTACTATTACTAATAAAGAGCCAACAATTACTCAGTATTTATTTGTACCAGTAATTTTGCAAATAATTGAGATGTTACAATTGTTACATCTAATGTTACATCAGTTAATCCTCTTATCTAGCAGTGATCAGATAGGACTCACCATTATTTCTAAGCCATAGCTGAAAAAAAAGTGAATTTTTCAATGGCTGAATTATGATTGCAAGGTCAAACTGCCTTGAATTGATAGAATGAAATCTCATCCTAGTTGTATCCGAATTCAAAAGGCTGTATTCTTAGTAATTTGCTCAATAAATATTTGATGATATTCCAACAGACAGAGAAATACAAATAACGGCCAGGTGCTGAAATTAACACATCTGTGTTTGAGGAAAAATGAGACAGAGGTTTAACTTTCAGCAATAAAATGAAAAGGGGAATTTGGTGTACATAAAGGCCAGATAAAGAAGCAAGTCGAAACAAGATAATTGAGATCCTATGATTAGATGGAAAGTGGTTTCTGGGAAGGTAAAGCAGTCAGAAGCAAAGAATTTAGACATTACTTTCTCCAAAGATACCAATCCATAAAAACACCATTGAATTAACAGAATGTACATTGATTTAGTCCCATCAATTATACAGCACTTTATGCAAATTAAAAAAAACTTTCAAACTTACTTGAGGAGGCACAAGAATGGGCTGAAGTGCTTTAACATGTATGTGTTGTAACATATATGTGATACAGCAGCTTACATTTGGTGATCACCATTGGCTAAATTTCTTCAAACTAATAGAACAGGATGTATCAGAAACAAAAGAATTCATTTTACCTTCTATATTTTAAATTCTTCAGGAAAATTTCTAAGAAAATGTCTATTTTAGAAAGTAACAGGAGAAAATTCATGTGGCAGAATACTGTCCATTTTACACAATATTGATGCTGCTTTGGACAGTGAAAGGGAATTAGTATGTGAATCTTTTTCTCCATACACTTTTTTAATAATTTGAAATGAGTTGCCCCCTAATCCCACCACATGAATGTTGATGATAATATATTTAAAGAGTATCAGTTAGATAGATTGCCAAATTCCCAACCAAGTCAGGGAGTGCATATCACCCACTCAAACTTTGATGGGAAAAAGCAATCACTTCTGATAATTCTTTAGATGATGAGAGAAAGTCCCAATAACCTCAAATTTAGAAGCTGAGACTTTGTAATTGACAGTTGATTTTACAGTGAAAAAGGAATGGAGAGAGAACTGACTTGCAGCAGAGTTTGATGAGTTATGGTTTAGCTGTTTTGAGTCTGAGCACCTGCAAGTATAAATGGCCATCAGAAAATAAATAATAGAATTGAGGAATCATCATGCAATATAGAAAAAAAGGCAAAAAATAATAATAATTAATTATAGAATTATACGTGTAGATATCTTACAGGTTTGAAATGCAAGAGAAAGGCCACAACTGAAGGAAAACACCTGGAGTTTTTTGGTTAAATGTTCACAGGAACCACAGAAATATATCCTGCTCTCCAAGGGAGTGGAGAAAAAAGCATACACAATGTAGGAACTCACTCAACATTGGGTTAAACCCGCAGTCAGACTCTAATAAATGGAAGAATCAAAGCCAAGATACAAGGTACAGAAATAAAGCATAAGCAAAGTTAAGGTGAAATTTAAAGATGGTCACCGACAGTAAATATTAAAAGTGATCAAAAATGACTGAAGATCGGTCAGGCACAGTGGCTCACGCCTGTAATCCCAGCACTTTAGGAGGCCGAGTCGGGTGGATCACCTGAGATCAGGGGTTCAAGACCAGCCTGGCCAACATGGTGAAACCCCGTTTCTACTAAAAATGCAAAAAATTAGCCAGGTAGCCGGGCATGGTGATGGGCGCCTGTAATCCCAGCTACTTGGGAGGCTGAGGCAGCGGAATCGCTTGAACCTGGGAGGCGGAGGTTGCAGTGAGCCAAGATCACGCCGTTGCACTCCAGCCCGAGTGACAAGAGTGAGACTCAAAAAAAAAAAAAAAAAAAGACTGAAGACCAAGAATCAGATTTTAAGTTTAGTATAAATCTAGGCAGTTTTTGGGAAAGTGGTGTTGAGATAATGGTAAGACTTGAAACCAGGAAGCAGTAGATTAAGCAGAAAATGACTAGGATGAAACTGGAAGGGAAGGAGTGGCTGTAAACAACATGTTCTGAAATGTTAATATAAAAATGATATCTTAACCTTTAAATAAGTAAGACTGATTTTGATGATATTTCCTCAGTGGGTGTATACTCTAGAAGATCTTGTGTATACTCTAGAAGGTCTACATAGACAAAGGGTCTATACTGGATGGGAAATGTATGCAAATAATTATGCTGGGATCTTTTAAGAAAGTTGTATAGGATATGGCCCCAAATATTAAATACTTGAAAAACAGAAAATCAAAACATAATGGTGTGATGACACAAATTTATGAATAATTTAAATATTAACTCAAAGCATCATGTTTTACCCCATAAATATATACAATTATTATTTGCCAATAAAAAGAATAAGTGAATATATTTATAGAAATTAGTTAAGTATAAACACACATGAAATGCAGGTCCTTTTTTCAGGTTACAGAATATTGACTATCAAATAGTGATTTGATTATAAGCTCAGTAACTGCTCAGCCACAATTGGTTGGTGCGGTTTAAAAGAACTCGTGGTATAAAATGGATCTTAACTTAGACAGGCCAGGTAGCTAAGATATGTAAAGGAAAGAGGAAAAAAGTCATTTCAAAAGTATAAAAGGTGTGTGTAAAGGAAAGGAAATAAGAAATATAGAAAATATGGGGCCTGAGGAAAAAGACAAGACTAATAGGAATCTCCTTACAGTCAAATTAGGAGAACATACAAGAAAAAGGTGAAATACTTTTAGAAAAATGGTTGATGAACAATTGAGGAATCGCTGTAGGGGATATAAATAGATTGGAAGGGCCATGTTTAACTTTTGATTAAACTTAGATATATAGAATAGGTGATATGATGAAATTGAAGTTTACTGCTAGAGATAATATATTTTCTGTGCCTTGCAGAAAAGATAGCTGGGTGATTTAATTAAAGAGAAACTAGAGTGCTGATGCTCAAACATATGCATAAGGGTCTTTCAGGATTCCTGCTAAAATGCAGAGTCTGGGCCTTAGCCACAGACATTCTGATTGGATAGATGAGGGTGCCCGCGAATCTTAGTTTTTAAGAACACTAGGTATTTCTTCCCTAGATGATAGAGGTAGCTTTCTCCCTACACTTTGGAGACATTAAATTAGAAGGTTCAAAAAAAATTTTTTTAAACAATAATAAAAGACTCACTTTAAAAGATGAAAATTAATTCCCGGGAGCAAAATTAACTTTTTAAATTTTATAGCAAAGAAGGCAAGAGGATCATTTAACAAGCGTCTCCAAGTATACTAAGTGTGTATATAAGATAGCCGAGCAATTTTTCTCTGCTTCTATTGTTGTCTACACAACAGGAAATTGACAAGGATTAAAGTAAAAATTCGTTTGCAAGTTAAGATTTCTTCGCTTAAATAATGATTATAGGCCAGAACTGTCATGAAGGGCATTTGGAGAAACTACACTCTTGTTTTGTCTTGCTTAATTATAACTTTTAAAAAGTCTATCCATCCCAGCTATTTTGGGGTGTGTCCCTTCACCAATATTGGAAATAGGGTCATTGACCATAGAATATTTTGAAGTCGATTCCAACTTTATGATAGCAACATTTAATAAGGATATATTGCTCTTTGAGTCGGCTATGCAAGAGTCATTAACTGTGACTAATACGCTGTCCTCAAGACATGCCAGAGCAGCCTCATTAATCACATCAAATTGCTGCTAAAGACACTGTGTACATCAATGTGTGAGTGTGTGTGTGAGTGTGTGAGTGTGTGTATGAGTGTGTGTGTTTCTGTGTATGGTCATTTATTAAACTCCTTTAAGTTACAGAATAAAGACAATGACTTAATTGAACCCTGTCCATTGCTGATTTTTTCTCCCTTTTTCCCCAACTTTTAAAAACTGGTCCAGTATCCAGGTAGCTGTTCCCAGCCTGCATTTGTAAATGCTAAGCATTATTACAGAGCTGTTCCAGCAAACAGAGGGTGGAATTCCACCTGCTTTTCTCTCCTTGCTACAATGAGAGGGAAGCAGTTTCATTTCTGCAGCCCTCCCCTCAACCCCCCATGCTGTGACAAGCCATAAAGAAAGACTGGCTAAAGTGACTACAGATGTTGTGTGAAATAGCCAGTATGTTTTCCACCTGTCTGTATTTGCCTAAGGGGTCAGGGACAATCAAATTAAAGCAATATGCAAGATGTGACAGATGCTGTCCTATTGAGATAAATCTGAGCACGTTGTAGAAAGGTAGAATAAATGTAATACATAAAACAAAACACAGAAACCACTTTAAAGGGTGTCCTGAGAATAACAACATTTCTAAATAAAGACCCATTACTTTATGCCCTTCCCTTCTAATTAGACCCATAATTGGACACTTTATAGTACCTAGTGGAAGCATAATTAGTCATTCTTTTTATAGCAGTGTAATTTGTTGGGAGTTAGATTGTTGAGGTGGAAGAAGAGTCATTTTGGAGAGTTTTTATCTCTTTTTCAGGCAACAGGTAATGACATGGTGCGTTGCCCATTTTGTTGGAAGAACTTGGGTGAAATGTTTCACCATCAAATTAATGTCCTTGGATCTATCTCATGTTCCCCTCAAAATAGAGGACAGCATCTTCTGCTACCTCTGAGGCTAATGCCGGGTAATGAAACGGTCCTTCAGTAACTTATTGACTGGAACGTTGCTAACATATCAAGATCAGGGAAAGGGGAGTTAGATGTGGCATTATGATTATATATGCCTTGAAACAATACACCAATATGGGGTATTTTTCTTTTGTGTCACACTGGCGAGATGTCTCTGGTGAAATAGACAATATATGTTTTTTGGCAAACTTCCTTTTGGATCTTTATCTTTCTTTTCCTATCTTAAAAATACTTTATGCTCTGAAATCTCAGCACTGCCCCTGAAAATTATTAGACCTAAAAAATATGAGTTGGCCAGCAAAAGCATAAAACCAATCAACCATTGGACATTAACGCTTTTGAAGGTTGTAAAATCTTACAAGACATGATGAAATAACATTTATTGCATTTTGTGGAAAGAATAATGTGTTCCAACTTAAGTCATTTGTAAATACTTTCAGGGATGTAATAGAGCGTTGTGTGTTCTTGACTTTAATGCAAAAGTCTATTACAATTGCCAGGGTATATTGTTCCCTTAATTCCATTGCCATAACATGACACATACGTCTGAATACAGTCAATCCACTGCTGGTCTCAGCGACTGCCAACAGCGAGTTGATTTAGATGGCAACCTATGTGGCTGCAGTGAAGGCCAATGGAAATTACATAAACCATTTTTCTTCCTCTCCTGAGGTTTTCAAACTCTCAATCACAAGGCAAGTCAAGCACATTAGAAGCCTAATTGAGATTTGGATGCCTGCTACTTGTTGCAGCTTCCCTCCTTATTAATGCAAAGAGAGTATTTACTGTGGGCTTTGACGTTTTTTGGAGTCATCCCAATGTAGGGTAGTATTTAAGTATTGTTGGTGTTTAAGAGGTCTTTTCCAAGAGAACACCGATATTTGTAAATGTGACCTAAGCAACCTGTGATTTATCAACCTACTTGTTGAGTGCTTGTCATTTGTCAGGCACTATATTACAACTAAGCTTTCTCCTTTTCTCCTTCCTCAAATTCTGCCTGCCACAGGGACTCTAAAACTGGAATAACCTCATTAATGAACATACAGCATTCCATTCTCATTCTCACTCTCTCTCTCTCTCTCTCTATCTCTCTTCCAGTCCTTCAAGGCACAAGGTGTGTAAATCATAGTGCTCCCCTGAGAGAAGGGAATGTAGAAAGAGGGTTTCAAGCTCCTGATATTATTAGTGAACATCATGAGCATTCTGGGAAGCAGGTCTCCCCCTAACCCCAAAAAAAGAAACAGCATGGAGATGGGAAGTGAGGATGCCTCAGGCTAAAGAGATGTAAGAGGACTGGTTGCTCCTTGTTCCATCAACTAAGTCTGTCAATCACACAGCATACAGGAAAATGTGCCTGCTACCACAAATGAAATGGAGGGACTAATTCAACCAACACTAATCAACTAATTCCGGTGGAAATTTTAGTTCGATTGTGCGGATGTGTATACAATGACAATAGGTTAATTTTTAGGGCAGTTCAGGCATTAGAAGTTCCTTGGCTAATAAAACTGACTGATTTGTGTGTGCTGTGTGTTCTTCACGTTTGAAAGAACACCAGAGCCTTCAAACACATTTTGAAACGATTTTAAAAGTATATTTTTCCCAGAAAAACTATTGATTCTGAAATCATTTAATTCATATTAAATAAGCTGTTTCACTTACAATTTAGATGAAAACATATTTTTGTAATTATATTTTCATGTATATAAATTGTGTGTATATTTTACTGTACAATTGGCTGTATGCATACAGTATTGCTTACACCTACATACATGCTGTGTACTTACATGAATAACAGGAAGAATCCTTAAGATTCAATCCAGACATATTGTGGTAGCTGGACTTTGGATGATCTGTGTGAAACAATTATAGCCTATTAGAAATCAATTTGTATACTATAAAAGGCAGATATTTTATATATATGGAATTACAGAATTTTATGCCTCAAAGGGATCCTAAGAATCATTTTCAAAAATGCAATATATGTGCAATAAAAATTTGTGGAATGAGGGAATTCAAACATCAAACTAAAGAAGTTAGAGATCCATATGTTCGCATGAAATACTAAATTAAATTTAAATACAATTGACCTTGAATGCAAAGGTAACAATGTATTTCCCTTTATGTAGTTTGTTCTGCTTATGTCATCACACCTTGCTTGCTCACCAACCTTCATCCTTAGACTTTCAGACAAAACATAGGAGTACATCAAAATGTTCCTGAAGAGGCAGGTTAGGGTATTTTCAACTTAATGGTGATTTTCTTTAATTGTGGAAGGAATGATTTTTTTTTTCATGGAGGAGATGGGAAGGATGACAGATTTAAAAGAAGGTTCAAGTAGAACACATGAGAAATGAATAAAATTTATTTGTAGTTTGTAAATGAAGGTGACAGCACAGTGTTCTCCTTAAACATTCAAATAATAAAAATATGTTGCCCACTGATACCTTTACTTTACAAATCAAAGACAGGTATTATTAAATTAGATTATTAAAGGCTAAGAGTGCCTAGACATGACTGTAATAGGATGGATAGTATTTAAATAGCTAAAGAAAGAATGTGTTCACTTTTGTTCTCTTTTGGTTCGTTGCCACAGATCGATCGATCTATCTATCTATCTATCTATCCATCCATCCATCTATTTTTTCAATGTTCTCAATGCCCTATTTACAGTGTTCATCTATCTATCTATCTATCTACCTATCTATCTATCTATCTATTTTTTCAATGTTCTCAATGTCCTATTTACAGTGTTCATGAGAGACGGTGCTGGAAAGGATTGATATCTAAGTTTACTGTGCTAGATCAGTAGTTAAAAACTGAGAAGCAGTATGCTTGAGGCCAGTGGCTCTCAATCTTAACAGACCCAGCAATTGATTTCTGTTGCTAAACTTTGTCCTATAGCATAATTGGAAATAAAATTTTTAGCTAATAGAACTATTCTGTGTCTGTAAATTTATATGTGTGTAGACATAATAGTCTAGAAGATGAAATTACTAATATTCAAAATAAGAAATTATTAATATACAATATGCAGATGTAACTACACCAGATTTCAGAAGTTGACTAATGCTAACACCTCCTTTTTAAATAAATGTCCGGGTTTAAGTGAAGTAAAATCAGGAGGCATTTGATACATAAATGACAAGAAAATGAAAGTACAGTTGAGCACTAAAAGACAAAATGATGTGATGATAAGCAATAATACAGTGGACTTATTTTTGTTTACGAGAAAATGTAAATAACATTAATTAAAGTGGGAGAATATGCCAAGACAAATTATAGACCATTACTATGGAGAAAATTTAGCAATATGATATTCTAATTTGAAACCCCATCTCATCTAGGAAGTATCTTATACTTTGGAAACTGTAACTTTCAATAGATAATGGGAGGGTGAATTGGACGAATAAACCATAATATAAGAGGTTATAGAAAAGTTGTGGATAGACATGAGGAAGAGGTAGAATAAAACCAAAAGAGATTTATAACTAATTTTGATTTTTATTTTTAAAGCATAGATTGTTTTCATTGCTGCATTAAAAATATAAATAATGGCAATGTATAGAATGGCAATATAAATTATTTTTAAGCTGGCATTGGTAACAAAATTATATAAATGTTTGCACTTCTTTTGTGCTTGCAAATTTAATAATATTGTTTCTAAATATATTAAAAAGAGTTTCAAATATGTTAAATAATTTCAAGGGACAACCACATTTTGAATAATGTATGTAACTTAGGTAGGTGACACAAAGCATAGCCATCAGTAACATGCTTTTCTTTTTTCTTTTTTTATTATTTTTTATTATTATACTTTAAGTTCTGGGGTACATGTACAGAATGTGGAGGTTTGTTACGTAGGTATACATGTGCTGTGGCAGTTTGCTGCACCCATCAACCGGTCGTCTGCATTAGGTATTTCTCCTAATGCTATCCCTCCCCTAGCCCCCTACTCCCGACAGGCCCCAGTGTGTGATGTTCCCCTCCTGTGTCCATGTGTTCTCATTGTTCAACTCCCACTTCTGAGTGAGAACATGAGGTGTTTGGTTTTTCTGTTCTTGAGTTAGTTTGCCGAGAATGATGGTTTCCAGCTTCATCCATGTCCCTGCAAAGGACATGAACTCATCCTTTTTTATGGCTGCATAGTATTCCATGGTGTGTATGTGCCACATTTTCTTTATCCAGTCTATCATTTTAAATAACTTTTGGTAAAGTTTTGAATACAACAAGGTAAACTCTTCCCATGATTTATATTTTAGTTTTATGTCAGGATTATTCACTGTATATTAAAATCAAGAAGGAAAAAAACACTTTGATCTAATACATAAATTATAATTAGATTATATGCACAGACTTGATTTTTTTCCTATTTTACTTTTTTTGAGACAGGGTCTCACTCTATTGCCCAGGCTGGTATTCTGTGATGTGATCACAGTTCACTGCAGCCTCATCCAAGTAATCCTCCTACCTCAGCCTCTCAAGCAGCTAGATCCACAGGCATGTAGCACCACACCCAGCTAATTTTTTTAAATTTTTTGTAGAAACAGGAACAGGCTGGTCTCAAACTCCTAGGCTCAAGTGATTTGGCCTCAGCATCCCAAAGTGCTGGGATTACTGACATGAGCCACTGCAACAGATGAGTTGTCTTTTTTTTTTAACGAGTGTCCAATGGAGCGTTTGAAAATCATGAAAAATGAAGGAAAATACATTATGTGGACTCACCCTTAAATTTCAGAATTTCTAGAATCCCTGCTTTTTCCCAATTACTAGTAGCGTAACCCAGTAATTTCAGCAATGAAATATTTGTCTCAAATTTTCAAAAGCATCTCTATAGGTATTTCTGTCAATAGCGCATTCACAATATGTTGTCAATAAATATTCATGTCATATAACTAAATTCCCTATTCATATTCTATGCTCTCCAAGAAGCTTTTGATAGCCTGGTTTTCATGCTGCCTTCCTGTAGTGATAAAAAGTTCTCATTAGGCCAAATAGTAGCTCAGCACACCTCTTTTAATGGGTTTATATATTCCAGGGTATATATTCCATTTTCTAGTTTATATATTCTGGTCTCTGAATTTAGTCCATAGAAACTAGCTTTTCCTCATTGGAGCCTGGACATCGACAAGTTTAAATTTCTACATACTTGAAAAGAAAGATAAGAACCAGATTCTGACCCATATGAATCTACCAGTTAAGGCCACCATATGTTCAATTTATGTATTTTCCTTCAAACTTCTATAAAACTAACATTTTAAAAAAATCAAGGATGCAAAAAATATAAAATATCAATTTTAACTATTGGAATTGATTAAGAAGTTAAACTGTCAGAAGTAATATTTATTCATGATTTTAGTATATATTTTGAATATTCTATTGACACAATTAGAAAAAAATGCTGTCCTTGCTAAAATAAAAGTCATTATAAAATTCTATATTATTAATAACTTTGTACTTAATTTGGTTTTAAAATTTTATGTATTTAAAAATTAAAAATGTCCCGGGGGGGGGGGGAAATATATATATATATATGTATGTAAGGTCTTCAGAAAAGCTGCAGACTGAAATGAGTGAGCACACAGAAATAGCTTTGCTACAGCTTGGGAAATTTCCCTAAATGTCCTAAATGTGCAATGGAGTGACCCAGGTGTCCACCAGTTGTGGTGTTAAAAATCTTGCTGTTACATTACTTCTAGGCTGTTTGAAAATATATGAGAGCAAATAGAAACAGCAATTAAAAAATATGTAAGACTGTTAGCCTAACAGACAAAACTGGCAGAGAAAAAACCATTCGCTGCCACAAAGAATAAAAATAATTGAATGCTTCAGATTTTAGTTGTCAGCACTCATCTGAGACTATTTAATTGGAAGCATGACTCTACAAAGCAGAGATGCAAGAGAAGGCAAACAATTGCCTGTGGGGGATCTAGCTAGTGGCTCAAGGCTATGAACAGGAAAAGGTATTTCCTGATTCTTGGCTTTTTAAAAATATTTAGGGCTTTAACAATTTTCAACAATTTACAGTTTTTGAGGCTAAAGTTTCTGGATATCTTTGTACTTAGAAATAATGTTTCTGAAATTATTTGGAATTTCTTGATAAAACTTAAGAATCAGAAAAACAAATTGATGTTTTTCCAGTGATTAAGAGGGTGAAAATATTCTTACAATCATAACAAAAACATTATTGCAAATTTTTATGATGTAATTTTATTTTTTATGGTCCAAAGGAAGACGAAGTTAACATCAGGTACTCTGTTTCAAATCAGGCAGTTTGAGTGAGTTAACGCACAGAATGGACATTTAAGAAGAACAGAAATCTCGTCTGTCATGTCATGGAGGGTACATAATATATACTTTTATATACGTTAATATATACTTTTTGAACTAATAATTAGAACATGTGAATCCTTACAACTAAATCCAGTGAATTACTTCAAATGCTTTTGTTTTAGAAATACTCCAATATTATATTGTTTTACTCCAATATTATATTGCTTTAAAAATACTCCAATATTATAGCCTAACATTGTAATCTTTCTATTTATAATTTTCCTTTGGAAAATGAAAAAGGTATTTGAATTAGAACTTAGATTTTTTTTTTAATTCTGATTCTGCTTATTCGTATAATACACCGTGGGTTGATAGATTAAGCCCCTATTTTCATCCTGTCTCTCCAGACCTTTACTATGGAGCCTACAAAGCTATAAACTCAAGTGCTCACACTCCAACTTTCCAAAATTCCTTTTGTAGGATATGTTCTCACTGAGAAGCATAAGTCTGCTGATTCTGTCTCTTCCCTTTAACACTTCCTACTCCCTCCTGCCTGGAAAATGATGTGAGGCCTAGAAATATGGCAGCCTTCTTGCGACATGAGGCAAAAGAACGTGTATTTGGAGGCCTGAGGAAGAGTCTGGGTCCTTGTGGGCATAATTGAGAGTTAGTGACAGCCCTGGGTTGAAGACTTTCAAATTTGTTGTAATATCACACAACGCATTGTGTATTTAAGCCTTCATTTGTATGGTTTCTATTACTTACAGATGAACCCATATCTAACTGATAGAGGTCAGGCATCATCTTGTTATCTACCTTTCATTAGATATGTTTCTTGGTCTGGGATTCCAAAGAGGCAGACTCTGGGCCAAGGACTCCAGTGAAATATTTTATTTCTGACATGATGCCAGGAAATATCCATGGAGAGTTAAGAAGTATTAACAAATGTGCAATGGAGTGATCCAGGTATCCACCAGTTGTGGTGATAAAAATCTTACTGTTACATTACTTCTAGACAGTTTGAAAATATTTGAGAGAAAATAGAAATAGCCATTAAAAATTACGTAACACTGTTAGCCTAACAGGTAAAACTGGGAGAGAAAAAAAATCACTTGTTGCCACAAAAAATAAAAATAATTGATTAATTTAGATTTTAGTTGTTACCACTCATCTGAGGCTATTTAATTGAGAGCATGAATCTATAAAGCAGGGATACAAGTCAATGAAGAGGCATTATCCAGAAAGTTGCAATGTATAGCTGGAGCTCAACCCTACTGAAGAACTCTAAAAGGCAGGGTAGAATATGTCTCAGAGTTATCCACATGGAGAGGCAAAGAAGCTGGAGTATTTGTTTACCATTTATCATCTATCAATGCTAGGGTGAGCACTATTTTCGAGACATTTACTCTCTAGCTTTAATTACCTTCCTTTGCACACTGGATTGCCATGCTACCATGGGAGAATAAAAAACATGTCAGGCAGAGGGTCACAGCTGATCATGGTAAGCAGCCTCCAGGGGAGGATGTTAGTATTAAGCACATACGGGCACGGCACCAACAGCATGTGCTAGAATCCACCATTTATATTAGTCAAGTGACTCATGACTCAAGTTAAATACTCTCTAAATACCCTCTATTCCTGACTCTGATTTTTCAATATGGTAGCATGTCCCAGTTTCTAATAAAGAAGTGTACAGTAGAAGACTTAGAAGAAAAGTTATAGTTCCATAGCTGGGGTTACTAATTACTGTACTGTACTGTTAGTAATGTTGTAGTTGATATTCATTACTTCCTTCTGCCTTTCACTCTGAGTTCCACTCACTCTTGCTGCTTTTTGTTCATGGGGCAACTCATACCTTCATTTCTGGGGCTATAGTTCCTAAAACACTTATCACTCGGTATGGTCACTGATGTAGTTTGCATGTATGTTCATGTCCAAATTTCATATTAAAATATAATCCCCAATATTGGAGGTGGGCCTGGGGGGAAGGAAGGTGATTGGATCCTAGCAGCAGATTTCTCATAAATGGTTTAGCACCAACCCCGGCTTGGTACTGTCCTCATGATAGTGAGTGAGTCCTCCTGAGACCCGATCATTTAAAAATGTGTAGCGCCTCCCCCAACACTCTTTTGTTCCTGCTCCGGCCATGTGACATGCCTGTTTTTCTTCACCTTCCACCATGGTTGTGAGTTTCTTGAGGCCTCCCCAGAAGCCAAACATATGACAGCATCATTCTTCCTGTACAGCCTGCAAAACTGTGGATCAGTTAAACCTCTTTCCTTTATAAATTACCCACTCTTAGGTATTTCTTTATAGCAATGTGAGAATGGACTACTACAGACACCTAAAGAAGTGTGCTCATAAATTTTCTGAGTTCCTGACGTACGCTTTCCTAAACCTATTACATAAAAATAACCCTATCTCCTAATGCTAATAAGCGACAGTTACTCAGTCTAGTAATGTTCTTCTTTGCCTGTATACTAGTATTAGGAGACTAAAATTACCAGGTGGCAGTAACAGATCTAGGGTTAGTGGAAATTATTCTATGCTCCTTGATATAAGCCTACCTCCTGCATCCCTGGAACCAGGACATCTAGTTCAGCAGAGCCTAGAGTTGCAGGGATGGGAAGCACAAATTCTCAAAAGAGTAACTGGAAGTGAAATACATCACTCCTATCTTCACCCCTTGGTTTCTGGCCCTGTGCTTTCTACCTGTTTTGAAGCACAGTGTTCTAGATTCTCAGAGTTCTCATGCCCAAGTCAGAACCCTAACTCTGCCTCTACGAAGCAATTCCAAAATTCTGTCTGGCTGGCAGCTTTCGAAGCGTGCAGTTCATGATGGGATTAGTAAATCCATGGTCAAGTTCCTATTGTCATAAATTTTTCAACAGAAAGTGAAGGCAACCCCATATATAATCTCAAGACAACAAATCCAATATTCTGTGAATCCCTGGACTTTGGTGGTGGTTGAAGTATTTTAGGCAGAAAAACTACCCTTATTGTAAATACTTTACAATACCAATGAGATGAATTGTCTTTTCAGAGTATATAGGAGGTTGAATGCAATCAACTTGCTACCAAGAGACTGACTGGTCACTAACGGATGATATTCTATTGAAGGCATTATATCACTTTCAATTATATTCTTAGGAATTCATGCTTCCTACCCCTAAAGCACTAGGCTCTGATTTTCTGAAGATCCTTGTTGTCAGTCTGACCTTAATGCCTATTACAATAGCTGTATCCATATCTCTCATAACTGATAGGAAGTTCAGCTAGATGACAGGAATGTGCTCTAGTGGTCTGTAGCACTGTAGGGTGAAAATGGTTAACAAAATTTAGTACACATTTTCAAAAAGCTAGAAGAAAAGATTTTGAATGTTTACATGGCCTCTAAAATTATAGGTTCCCACCATTCTCATTGATAGTAGGGAACCCAGTTCCAAAACAACATTCCCTGTCATTAAATAACCGCTATTTCTGAACAATACTGATGTGTCCTTCTCTATCACGCCCCCTCCCTCTTTACAGGAAGGAGTGCCCACTGAGCTCCACAAAAGAACAAAGTCAGCTGGCTGATTCTCTAGTATTACATAGTAAAGACTTTCTAATACGTATGACCAAGACTCTTAATACTTTCTGTAAAACTTAAGGTTCTGGCAAATCTATCTTATTTACCATGGGTGATTTTTTCCAAGTGCAAAGAAACTATTCCAACAGAATGTTAGGACCATCTTGAAGGATCTTTGCCAGCACCTTAATCTTGAATCTCAGGAGAGTGCCCCGTATAAATAAATTCTCCCTTACCCTGCTTTATACTCTGCGCCATCCCGCTAGCATTATTACCATTAAGTTTCAAGCATCTTCTGCTAGTTTCTACTGTACAGAGATTCTGTACCACTTTTGGTAAATAATCCTGTTCCTCCTAAAATACTAAAATACCCCCAGAAAGTCTTCATTTCAAGTTTCAGTGACCAATCTTCTCTCATAAGGCTCTGACATTAGTGTAGTATCCTCACCAGGGCTGTGAATTCAACTCACTTTGTGCTTCTCTCAGCAGTTTTCCCTCCTACTATTGGAGAAGAGGGTCTTTGTAAGTGTGGCCGTGTGTTTTTCTGGCTATCACACCAAGCTCTAAGTTGGGAGGCTGCTTTAAGTCTGTCACTTTTATACTAAAGGACTTTTATTGCAGTTATCATCTGCCAATCAATGTCAAATCTTTATAATTACCATTACCCCATATTTCCCAAGGGCTAGAGGTTTTGCCTGAACTAAGGCACCCTCTTCTCCCACTAAACACTCTTAATGCAACACAGGTGAAAGTCTTAGTTTCTTTACGTGAGAAGTTATAAACACGACTTACTACCTGTAATAGGGTCCTTCTTGCCCTCTGGCTGATGACTAATCCAGTTCCAGAATCACGTTTAAGGATTTGCCTCTGCAACCATTTTTTGCACCAATTGTCTTTGGACACCCGTAGAAAGAGCCACTGAGACAAGAATTAAGTGTGGGTACTTCGAGAGATAATCCAGAAGGCACCACCAGAGGAGTGGGACAATCTGATAGAAAAGGGAAGGAGGCCGTAAAAGCTGGGAGACCAATTTGAGCAAGTGGGCTCAGTCCTGTTAGGGCACTCAGGAGAGATATTATCCCATTCAAGGGATCAGAAAGCTGAGCTATTTGCGCACTGTCCCCCCATGACTGATCGAAGGATTAACTTTCTGGCCCTTTCAACCTGCCTTGTACATAGGGAAAGCATGTTCCCTCAGTTAGACTGAAGGCCTCAAGGAGGGAGTCACAGTTGTTCACAGTAAGCAGCTTTCGGGGTGTAGATGTGTGTACAGAAAGGACATGAACGGACACTGCTTGCATCTGCTCCAACAAGGAACATTTTTTTTTCATAAGGCTGGGAAGGGTACGGTTATGCCAGATGGAGAAATCTACCTTTGGATATATGCCTAGTCAAAACAGGGAACTGTATATACAATGTGATGGAAAGTGCCCTAGAATTACTTTCTCTAAATATGTCATAACAACTCTCCCCTTGTTCTAGTGTCAGAAATTCTTCTATTTGAAAACATTCCTTCAGCCTAGACTTTTGATCGCCTTTGTTAAAAACTAAATTATACTTGTAAAGAATCATGCATTAGACCATTGTAACAATAAAATGTAAAATACAGAATAGGAAAATGATGGTGTCAGTTCAACTACTAAACTGAAAGTAGGTTCTAGCATTACAGCACAAAAAAATCATATTCTCTCTTTAACAGCCAAATATTTGGAAATATTCCTAAGTCAATAAATGAAAAAAGTTACATTGATTTTACACATAGATTCCAATCAGTCTGTTAAGCTCACGAGTTATATAACTCATTCCAAAATAATAGCCTACAGCACATACTTAACAGTTTACAATGCACGATTTCATTTAATACTCAACACAGGGTGATGGCCAATACTCTTTTCTCTCCTGCTACCATCCAATGACCAGATGCATACCCAAGTAGAAGGTGCTATGGTATAAGTAATAACATACTTTATCCTTTGACAGATTCAATTTGTGTCTTTCTTGAGAGGTTAAAGAGTAAAAATATTCTCTCTTCTAGATGACATATTGGGTTGGTTTGGTTTTGCTTTATTTTGTTTTCTCTATTTTACATCATTTTGCTTTGAAAACCTGTATTCTCTATGTTCTTTCTTGCACCTATTACAGTTAAATAATCATGAGAGTACCTTTTTCTTAAAGGGTGACTACTTTCAAAAGGCCAAAAAGGACCACAGTGGAGAAAAGGGAAAGGAAGTATGCAGTGTTTAGCGTGGCACAGCTCTGCTCTAGGCCATGGGGAGAAAAGTCTCTGCAGAGGACATTTGCCATATTTGAAGCTGTCTGTATCATTCAGGGTCCCAGATAGAAACAGATGGCACATTCAAATTAGGATAATTTGAAGAGGATTTAATTAAGGGGCAATTTACAAAAATGAGAGTAGAGTATAAAGAAACCACAAGGGATGGTGCTGCATCTCATGCTATTACCACCCATAGACTTGAGGGAGTAAAGAGAGGGAACAGTTAGAGGATCCCAGTGACCCAAAAGCTGGGGTGAAAGGACCTCCTGCAGAAGCTAACATCTCATTTAAGGGATGCAGCAAGCCCCTGGGGACACTGCAGTGAGGGAAACAAAAGGATACATACTCTGATCTTTCTCTTCTCACCCGCTGATCTTCCACCTGGGCTTTCTGTTGGCTGACCCCAGCTGAGACCAGTCAATAAGGGGATGGCTTGATGGATTCTGTGCAAGTCTAAAACTCAGATCATAGAGCAGGGTGCAAAAGAATGGAGGTTTAGATCTGAAAAAGGACTGGAATACTTCCAGCTCACAGCCCTTATTTGTATTCAGGGAAATCCACCAATGTACTAATTTGGTAGAATTTAGGAACCATCTTCCAATAAAAAAGCTAAAAAAATTAGACATTTGCTCTCTCTGGTTCCTGGAAGCTATGCTTGGTCAATCAGATGCTCATGCCAAGGAAATAGAGCAATTTTGAATTAATTCTGGCTGCCTAGGGGAAGCAGTCATGGTGGTGCCAGCAGCAGCCTTCACTCCACAGTCTAGGGGCAGCAGAACCAGTGGCAGAATCCAGTGACCACTGGTGGCAGCCATGCCCTCCATCTAGGGGTGTTCTCCTTAGATGACCTTGCCCCTGCTTCTAGCCAGTTAAGTTTTCTGAGCTTTTCTGAGCCTAGTTCTCCAGCCTTACTGTTATATCTGGTATGTTTGTGAGACTGTGTGTGTGTGTGTGTGTGTGTGTGTGTGTGTCAAATAAATTGCTTGGCAGCTTAAATTCATCAGAGATTATTTGTGTTTTTAGAGTAAAGAATTCTGATTAACAAGAAAAAAATATGTTACCATGAGTGGGTTGCAGAGGTGACATTGGAGTGGCTACCATGATACACAGGGGGTGCAGGGTTGTACGCTGAGTAGCTTAACCTTAAACAATCTTGGTAAATAAGAAGGAATCTGGAATTGCTCATCTTGCTTATTTAGAGCTGAAAAGAAACAAAAATCTGTCTAGCATTCTGGGAGGAGAAACTCAATACCCAGCATGAAACTGCACATCTACGATTCATATTTCACCTACAGTAATCTGGAACAAAGAGGCCATTGAAGGCACTGAGAAACTGAGAAACTGCCATGTAACAATACGCCAGGAACAAGGCGTTCCAAGGACTGCGGGGTGAGCAGATGCTTCTCATGGCACTGGATAGTTTAAAGAAAAACAACGAGCAGCAGCCTAAATCCCTAAATACTTAGCTCAAGCCATAGACTGAAACCCAGGAAATTTCTGCAACTAAGCTAAACAATTATTTATCATTTTCAGGAGCAGAACTGAGATGGGAGGCAAATGTACATTTGAGATTGCAGTGAGTATCTCAATTTGAAATCATATTCATTGGTCTCTCTCCCACATTTCCTAAGTGCTTTACCTTCCTTCCTCCCAGCTGCTACTGTCTCTACAGTAAGAGTCTGAAAGTGAGGTGCATCACTGAAAAATCGTAATGGGGAAAGGCATTATTAGTGTGCAGAGTGGGAAGTAAAGGCAAGGAACTTCTGGAAGCTGGGATAAATGTAGCAGCAGCCAGTAAAGGAAGCAAAAAGACAGCTGGAAACCTCTATTGTCAAGGAAGATCAGGAGACAACTGAGAGGACCACTTGTATTTATTCAGGAAGTTATTTTATTTCAGCAGAGGACTGCCTAAAAAGGAGAATTAAAAAGTAATAAATTGGGGAACAGAATAAACTTCTTTTCACCAATAGATAGCCCCCCTGAATTTGTCTAAATAATACCATGGTATTCTTATAAGCTTTTAAGATGGTTACTATGGACAAAAAAGTTTACTTATATAGATTTTAGAAAATAAAAGTATTTTAACTTATTTACCAGTTCTCCATAAAACAGAGCTATATTATTTTCTTTATTAGAACTGTGCACCCATGAGAGCCCTTTTAAATTTATGTGGCCTAGTGACATTGTTTTTTGTGGATTCCTCATTTTCTGATATTTTTATTTAAATTGAGCACTGATTTTATAGTATTACAATAATTTTAGTGAAAAATGTATATTGCAGCCAATTGTCAAAAAATAGAGAATGGTTTAATCATTAAATTCATTGTGATGGATATTTAGGATATGTATCTAAAATTAGCATGAGCACTATTTAAATGTAAATGCTTTCATATATAATTTTTGAATCCTGTTAAAAAAAAATGGGAGCTGAGGTCAATCCTTCAATGAGGAAATGTAGCAACTGAATAAGCAATATTAATTTTTAAATGTGTAGATTTGAAATATCAATAACATCAGTCAATAAAATTTAGATGTTCAGAAAAAGACTTTTTTTTTTTTAACTCAGTCCAAGCTCCTGACCTTTCCACCCCTCCCCACCTCATACAGATATCTTCATTGAATCCATTTGAGGTTTTCTCTCTCTCCAGCTCTGGGTTATTTAAAACAAACACTATCTTGTTTAAATTCCATCCCAGCCTCTCACTTGCTTCACTTCACTCCTGACCACATACTCTAGAAGCTCACCTAGCTTGGGAAACTTCAGCTGGGACCGAGCACGACTCTGCCCTGAGCTGCTCCTGGCAGAAGAGTTTCTGGTATGACTTTTTATGGCAGAGGAGAACCCCTGGGTCTCTGCTTCTCGTGAAAACATGGGTCCCTCTGCCCCACATGCTTAGCTGGTGGCTTTGTACAACCTCTCTGATGGAGCCTTTAATGAGATTCTCTTCCATGCTGCATTTAGTTACTGGAAAACACATGAACATCACTCTCAGCCTACTTGGGCCATAGGAATTTCTGGATTGCTTCCATGCTACTCTAGTAAAGTGGGAATCTCAGGGGATGACCCTGGACCACTCTTATGACCACACTGCCTTCACCATGGGGCCATAGGTCTTGCTTCCCCATCCATGTTTCAGTATGGCAGGATATCTTTATGAGTTGTGACTCTCAATGTCAGCTGTAAAACAGAGCCCTGGTTTCTTCTAGTTCTGAAACCCCACCATTTCATAAGGAATACTAGGAATGGCAGATGCCAGGACACATCTACCCCCTTTCTTTGAGGAATAGATGAGTAGGGGCAAGATAATCTCTCTTATATTTTCCTCTTCTTCCTCGGAACTCTACACCAGAATTTCTCAGCAGCCCCACTATTAACATCTTGAGCTGGATAATTCTTTGTGGTCGGTGAGAGTGTCCTTTGCATTATAAGATGTTTAACAGCATCCCTGGCTTCTATCCACTAAATGATACTCTAGTCACAAATACCCCAGTTGTGACAACCAAAAAAGTCTCCATAACCCCTTAGGGGAGGCAAAATCACCAACCCACACCCATCGAAAACTACTATTCCACACTGACTTACACTAGTATGAAGGGCTTGTGTATGTGTGGTGTGAATGTGTGTGTGTGTGTGTGTGTATGATTTGTCATATACAATATGGGTGAAAAAGAGAAGATGGAAGCTTGCTCTGTCTGTTAAAAATCTCTACACATCTATAAAGGCTCATCACTCAGTGGTGATGTCATTTACAACCTAATACTAAAAATCATCTGGATATTCTCCTTTCTCAGCAGTAGAGAGTCTCTGCAGAACATCTGGAAGATCTACACAACTTAGTAAACTAATATTTTCCAAATGACCAATGAATAATGTTATAAAATTTAAAATACAAAATGTTAAGGTAATCAAGTATGGAAAATTCATCAGTGTTTTCAGATTTCACATTGGAACAAAGAAACTACTACTTGTCAAATTCTGGTGCAGTATCAAAGCAGAACATTCGCGATTATCTGAAAAAGCTATTAACACATTCCTTGCTTTCCAGCTACTCATCCGAGTGAGCTGGACTTCCTAAATATTCTTTAACCAAAAGAACATATCACAACAGACTGAGCACAGAAGCAGATAAGAGAATACAGCTATCTTCTATCATTTTCCTTAAGTTAGACTTTAACGAAATTTGTAAAAATGTAAAACAGCTCAACTCTTCTCACTAAATTTTTGTTTGGAAACTATAATTTTTATTAAAAAAAGTATTTATTTTTACATGTAGTGGGCTTATTGCTGTTACTTTTAAATGAATGAATAAATATTTTAGAAATGTCAAAAAAGAAAGAAATACACTTCTGTTTAACTTCAGTATTCCTTCAAGTCAGGGACAATGTGTGACCCAGAAGATCAGGTTAACAGTACCCTAAATTAGGTTGGTGCAAAAGCAGTTGCAGTTTTTGCACTGTTGAAATTTACCGTTTGGTAATGGAATACATTCTTAAATAAATGTGGTTATGTTATACATCATTTTAATGTGCATTTCACAATTTTTTTTGCTAATGACTTGTTACTTGATGTTTATTTTACATCAATTTTAGACTATGGAAATGATGTAAGATAAAAGGCAAATTCGAGTGATATTCTTATTTGAGTTCCAAATGGGTCATAAAGCAGCAGAGACAAGTGCAACATCAACAATGCATTTGGCCAAAGAACTGCTAACGAACAGTGAAGTCGCAGTTCAAGAAGTTTTGCAAAGGAGACAAGAGCCTTGAACAAGAGGAGTGTGGTGGCCAGCCACTGGAAGTTGACAATGACCAATTGAGAGCAATCATCAAAGCTGATCCTCTTATAACTACAAGAGAAGTTGTTGAAGAACTCAACGTTGGCCACTCTACAGTCATTTGGCATTTGAAGCAAATTGGAAAGGTGAAAAAGCTCGATAAGTGGGTGCTTCATGAGCTGAATGAAAATCAAAAAAAGTCATTGTTTTGAAGTGTTGTTCTCTCTTATTCTATGCAACAACAATAAACCATTTCTTGATTAGATTGTGATATGTGATGAAAAGTGGATTTTGTACAACAACCGATGATGACCAGCTCAATGGCTGGACCGAGAAGACGCTCCAAAGCACTTCCCAAATCCAAACTTGCACCCAAAAAAGGCTCATGGTCACTGTTTGGTGGTCTGCTGCTGGTCTGATACACTACAGTTTTCTGAATTTGTCGAAACCATTACATTTAAGAAGTATGCTCAGCAAATGGATGAGATGCACCAGAAACTGCAATGTCTGCAGCCACCACTGGTCAAAAGAAAGAGCCCAATTCTTCTCCATGAAAACACCCGACTGCACATCACACAACCAATGCTTCAGAAGTTGAATAAATTGGGCTACGAAGTTTTGCCCTATCTGCCATATTCACTTGACCTCATCAACCAGCTACCACTTCTTCAAGCATCTCCACAACATTTTGCAGGGAAAAATGCTTTCACAACCAGCAGGATGCCGAAAATGCTTTCCAAGAGTTCATCGAATCTCAAAGCATGGATTTTTCCACTACAGGAATAAACAAACATTTCTCATTGGCAAAAGTATGTTGATTGCAATGATTCCAAGTTTCTTTAATAAACATGTTTGAGCCTAGTTATAATGATTTAAAATTCATGGCCCAAAACCGTGATTACATTTGCACCAATATATAACACCATATACTGTCTTGTTCGGGTGCTAGCATATATGCTTTGAGATGCAAGAGAAAGAGACACACGTTGTACTTGTTTACTCCCTATTGAGGATTACAATACCCCTTTAAATCTGGATGTTGCTATCCTTCTAAAGTATGCTCCTTAAATTCCCAAGTCTAAAATTTTGTAGCCTTACAATGTTAAGTAACACTTGCATGTACCCTATGAATGTTTCTTCAAGGAACTTCCATCCTAACTGCCCCTCAAGCAATCATAATCGTTTTTAATTTATTTCACAAAACTTCTTACAAGACGAATGTAGACTCACTGCTTTCTATTCCTCACTTCCTTTCACCACTTGACCCATTGGAAAATAACTTATTTTCACACCATTCCACTAAAACTGCTCTTATTAAGATCATCATCTATACTATCCAACATACACTCTACTGACCTTATCTTCTTGTTTCTTGACCTCTCCATGATATTTTATATTATGACCATCTTGACTCCCCATGATTGGATGCACACACATACAAAAATACACACATATATACACACACATACACATTCATACACACATAGATATTATATGCATTTGCATAAGCATATACATATATATGCAGATATGCGGTTTCTACTGAATTTTACAACCCACGTATTCCACAGAAGCTTGAAACTCAACATATCCAAAACTGAATCTATTATCATTTTCCCTCCCCAAAGCTATACTCCTGGAAATTGATGTGATTCTCTCCTTCTCACTAGGTGTATTAATCACTAAATCTTACTGAAATGACTCTCAATCTGTCCCACTTCTCCATCTTTATCACCTATCTCTTAGATTTAGTGCTGTGCATTTCTCATTTAAACTATGAAAAATAACCTTTTAACTAACATCAAACTTTTCTATAACAACCACTGTATTGATTTACTTCTCATTTTCTTGTCTGTGTTGATATTGCCTAGTTTCCTTCTCTCGAGGATCGTATCTTATCTTGGTTGGCATGTTCTGCCTGAGTCAGCCCTCCCTGGGTCCTTCTATGATGAATATCTTCCACTTGACCTTCCAGACCCATTCCTGACCCTCTCCACTTCTTGCTCTGTGCCCTAAGAAGATGACTTATAGGGATTATTACAGTGAGCTCCCACATATTCTGGCTTTCTCTGCTTAGGTTTGGTCAATGGAGAAACCAGCTATCACCAGGTTCACTACTAGTGAATTTGTTTTCCACACTAGTAATGTGAACAGTCTTATCTTGCAAAGCTGACTCAGAAACTATCCTAATGTACTATCATCTAAATCATAAAACTTTAAGTATCTTAAGCAAACATATCACAGTTTGCTTCATATGATTGCCCTGCAGTCTCATATCTATCCAACAGGTCCCTTTCACTCCTTCATTTCCAGAATTGCCTAATTCACATTTTTTGAACACACCTAATTATTTTGCTTCTCCATACTTTTGCACGTTGTTTTGTACTTGCTTTTATTCATTTATTAAATGAATATCACCTCACAATTCTTCTCATCATATATCAACTCCTCCTCTGTGATACCTTTTTAATCTCAACTTCACTGCACTCCTCTGTACTCTACAGGTAGAATGTAATGAATAAGATAATATAATTATTTACTTACTTTTTTATATGCTGCTAAACTTAAACTCCTCAAGAGTAGAGACAATTTTTAAAAATCACTTCGTGTTTTATGGAACTGAAACTGAAACTCCCTAACCAGAAACTACTGATCCCTCAGATTGTTTATTTTTTCATATAGGTATATTTTTTAAAAAGAAAAGAAAATTTACAAGAAGTTTCTGCATTTCATTTTTTTAATACATTATATTTGGGGTACTGTTTTTAAGTAACTCTCTATTACTAAGGAATCTTAACCAAAATAGCAGTCTTATTTTCCTCCTGGACAAAAAAGGGCAAACTTTTGGCCACATGCCCGAGAAGAAAGCAGTACCATAGGCATGATGGCTTCTTAAATCTTTATTTCTCTCTTTTCTGGCTTGCTACCTACACTCTAAAATGTTACATGTAAATATAATCTTAATTCACTTCTCTAGGGACCAGCCTGTACTATAAAAATTAAGACTTAAAAGTGCATCTATTTAAGTTCTTATTTAAGACTAGAACAAGCAAATCGTGCTATTCAGATATCTGGGGTTCTTTTGGGAATTTTGTTTTGCTTTGTTATTCCTAAGATGTGCTTAGTATCTATTCATTACTATCAATAAATACATTTTTTGTATTTATTGAATTATACCTGGATTTCATAAATCTTGCAAACTTTGTTTTTTCCCAGAGAAATGCTGCTAATCAAGATATGAAACATAACTAATTCAAACTAGCACTTGTGTTTCATTGTTAAAGTATTAACAGAAAATAACATAAGCAGTAAGTTCACATTAAGTAAATTAATACAACTGTTTACACCTGGAATGCAATTATTTTCTTTAATAAGGCAGATAATATTAATTAGAATTGAATCTTATGTGATTTTAGGAAAAGATACAGAGACAACTACTTTTTTGAAAATTATCCTGTATTAATGCCCTACAATACATAGTTCAAGCAACTGTAAATTTGAAGTTTAGAAATCCATTTATAATTTTTAAGGGACATTTATATTTCTTTATAACAAGCATTAAACTATAAATCATAAATTTAAAAACTATGATACTTCGAGAAAGACAAATTTATTCTGTCTTCACAAAACCTTAACTACGTGAAACTTAATATTACAGCAAATTTTAAAATTATGCAAATGTTGAAGAAAGAGCATTTGATTTTTTTTTCTCAAAGTAACAAAGTCTTGGCTAGGAATTATATAGTAAAAAGTATCATCAAACAAACAAATTAAGAATTTGTGTGGGCCAGCTGGCGGCTCATGCCTGAAATCCCAGCACTTTGGGAGGTCAAAGCAGGAGTACTGCTTGAACCCAGGAGTTTGAGATAACACCACTGCACTCCAGCCTGGGAAACAGAGTGAGACCTTGTCTCCAAAAAAAAAAGAAAAAAAGAAAAAAAAAAGAAAAAAAGAAAAAAATTGTCTGAATATTTTTCAAGGTTATAACTTAATAACCTTGAAAGGAAACACTTAAAAATATGAGATTTTTTGAAATTGATAGTATGTATTATACTATTAATGTACTTAATAGGTAGAGGAAAGCATTTGCACAGAAAAAAATTTAAAAACATATTATATCAAAACAAATGCATGTATTATAGAGTTACATTCAACATTTTTGTGATTTAAAAATAATAAGAATAGAATAGAATAATAGCTTTCCAAAAATATTGACACCCACAACCAAATCCCCAGAAGCAGTATACAGACAGGCTTAGAGAGAGTGCTCTGGTACTCACATTCCCAAGACTCAGCTCTAACACATACTAACTCATTAATTGTGAGCCTCACTTTCCTTATCTCATGCAATGAAATATTTATTTGGGTTATGTTAGCACTCAGCTGAGACAGTGTAGATATAAGAGCCTGGTTCTTTGGGCTTTGTTGTTAAAGTATAAAGAGAAAATAATTTGTGAGTAGTAAGTATACATTAAGCTAATTAATACAATTGTTTACACATAAAATACAATATTCTCTATTCAAGCCCTTGATAAATGTGTTATTATTGTGGCAATGGTAGAGGTGACGGTGGTGGTGTTTCCTTCCCTAGGATCAGTCATTTCCCCATGGCCTTAGGGGTCTTCCAGCCGAAAAGTTTAACAAACTCTGGCACACATAAGTATTAGTCACCTGTCAAACTAGTTTTCTAGCTTCTCTGTGGTCATACCTTAAAATTTCACACCTCTGATCTCCACCACTTAAGAAGCATTTTCTACCACCTCAGGCTTTGAAACCCTACGTATCCCTTCAGTTAGGTTTTCTTTCTTGGCATCTTCCCTAATTATACCATATTATATAATATTATAGGGGTAATATTATACTGTAAGAATATCATTCTTATTCTTATTTTTCAGATGAGAAAACTGAAAGTGACATAGATCGTATTTATTGCTCAAGGTCACCAACACAGAAGAAGCTAAAAAGTGGCTGAGTCAGCTTCAGCAGCTTCATATTCACTTTCCACAGTTACGCTTCCCTGTTGCCTCAGTCTCAGCTAGTCCACTACAGACCATCTTGGGTTGACACTATTTGTATCTATGGCTTATTTCCATTACTAAATTATGAGATCCCAGGATTTCAAAACTCTTCTTCTACTGGTTGTTATCTGAAACAAAAAGGCCAACCAGGAACTAGAGAAGACAAAAAACTGCTTTTCATCGGACCTTGATGAACTAAAGAAATACTAACATTCTCAAGGGAAAAACTACATGGAGAGATTTCAAGACTATAAAGATTCAGAGAATTGTCTTAACTTTCAGAAGCTATGCCAAAGAAATCTGAATCTTTGGCATGTCACTTTTGATGACACATGTCGACTTTCATAGGGTCATGAGATAAATAGTAACCTGAACCACTTGCTTCCAAAGCTTCTACTTCCTCTGAAGGCTGACATGGTGTGTCTTATGAAGTCACAAGTCCCGTTATACCTGCAGCAATCAATACTGCAATTAAAGGGAACTAGTACCTGAAGGAATTGATCAAACAAGTCCAAACCTATCATCCTCTCCAGTCACTATACATTTGAAACAATAAAATTACACAGTAAATATACTGCACACACACACAAAAATTCCTAAGAGGATTGGGTCATAAAGATACAAATCAAAAAATAAATAAGGCTTTATACAAATTTTAAAATGTTAAAGTAGCAATTTGTAGAGGTAAAAAAATTAAACATTACTCCCAGTTAACAATGTCCACTCCTTTCAGATTTTACTCATTCAGTAGATTCAACACAGAAGTCACACTATGCTTCACACTTTTACATTTTTGTCAATAAGATTAAGATATCAATGGCAAGCTAACATAAGATCAGCATTTCTAGCTGAATGAGAGAAGGTCCTTGATTCGCCTGTACAAATTCAATAGCAACTCATTAGCTCTAACTATGACTTATTACTTTGTTTCTTAGAGGATAATGTCTCAATATTTTGCCTTGTTAAATAAGGCAAATGATTTTATGTAACCTTAGATTTGAAGTTAATCTTAAATATGGTTGCAGAAAGAGCTTGAGGGGGCACTCCAAAGGAATCCCAGAATTTGAGGACAAAGTCAGATAAAGGTTACCCTCTGAAAATGAAAGTTTAAAAATCATAACATTTCAATATCAGGTGTAATTAAAATATATTGAGCACATACCATGTTACATACATGTGTCCTCATATTGATTCTC
Source organism: Homo sapiens (assembly GCF_000001405.40). Taxonomy (NCBI): domain Eukaryota; kingdom Metazoa; phylum Chordata; class Mammalia; order Primates; family Hominidae; genus Homo; species Homo sapiens. Next base: position 82,021,469 of record NC_000003.12, on the reverse strand, counting down.
TCATTCATGAATTCTACTATTATTTAGTGAGCTATGTTAGATACAAGTGACAGAAACAACTCAAGCTTGCTTAAACAAAAAAAGGGATTTAAAGAAATGTGGGAGAGAGGTCCTATGGTACCTAAATAGGTTTGCAGATGGACCTCAGAAATTACCTAGAATAAAGGAAATGTAAACTATTAAAAGTTTTTTTTTCTTTTCTCAATGTTGTTTCTTTTTGCATAGCTTCATTATTCTTCTGTCAGATTCTTTATCTGTTTGGAATGTTAGGGCCACAACATAGCTTCAGATTTCACATGGTAAATGTTATGCATAAGCAAAGGGTCACTTCTGTCTCATTCCCAACTCCAAAATCCCAATGAAAGGAGAACCTAGTTGGAGCCTGTTGTGCCAGGTGTCTAATTCAACTTAATCACCAATGCCTGGGAGGCAACATTATAAGACTACCATGAATTACTTCTGGTGAAGAGGAGCAAAACCATTATAAATTTGAAAAATAACCCAATCTATATTAATGCATGTGGCCATCTATAGCAGTAATTTCTCCAAACAATCAGTGCATTGTACTTAATTCAATCAAGGAGATCAAACACACCTCAGTTTCCTGGAAAATTATAAACCACTCTGCTCTTTTGTAGTGTATCTGAAGTGATATCCTTATTTTATGTCAGAAAAGCCATGATCTTGCATGGAGCATAAAAAAAAGATAGCTTATACATTAAAAATGAGTCAATGCTAACCAGCATTGTCTAAGAGCAAATGGCTGTCAGGAATATTCAAGTAACTAAACAGATGTGTATTATATAGATAAATCTCCTGCATTTCCTCCATCCTGGGTGAAATATTTCTCAATACCATTCAACTATCTTTACACTATTTTCACCCTTACTAGTCATTTAACTTACTAGTTCAGTTTTCCTGGTAGTGTTAATAAGAAACATTTTGACCTGCACAGTAGACATTAGGTTTCTTACTATGACTGGAATATAATCCCTACTGTAAACAAATCTCCATCCGACTTACAAATGAGTAATACATGATTAGTTACCATGAGCCAGTGCCTTAAAACTGAACGCCCCTGCATGAACCAATTTTTAAAGCATTGATCCTTTCATGTAAAAGTATATGTTCAATCACAGAAAAAGGAAAACGCAGTCTCAAGTTCAAAGAAATGCCTCTCATCTAGTTAATCCAGGCAGATCACAATGATTTAACATTTATTGAAGGTGTAAAAAAATCAGTTTCTTGCAATGACAAATTCACACACAAAAAAATGATTTTAATGGCTTATTTAATATATCATATTTCAACAGGTGACTGAGTCTAATGTTTATTGACAAGGTATCTAAGTAAAACTTCTCATAACAAGAAAGTTCATACAAATAACGCACCAAGTATGTGTTACAATGAAAACTCTAAGGGATTAAAAATAACTAATCCAAAATTGCATTACCTACTTAAAACATTAATAAACTGCTTCTGAAAAAATAATTACATTCCAACTATACAAGTGTATGTACATTATGTGGAATATATTTATACTTTTGAGCAGCTGAACGAAAGACAGGTAAACCATGATTAAGGTGATAGTTCCAATTTATTTTCTTCAGTAATGTTGAGGCTTGAATTTAACATGATTAATGATAATTATAGGCAAAGAATTTAAAGTTCATTAGGTTAAGGAGTATTGCAGAACATCAGAATTCTTTAAACTTTACAGTTCAGAATAATTTAATGTATTGGTTTTCAATTTTTTTTAGTTGCAGAACACTTTTTCCAAAAAATAAAAATAAAAGCACAAGTCAAAACACAAGATGTTAAACTAATATAAATAAATAATATTCTCGTCAATAAGAAATGATGAGAAGCATAGGACTACCTATTGAACCCTTCTATTCCTGTACAGCTTCCCTGTTGGAATACAGTTTATAAACAACTGTTTAAACTAATATTTCTTCTATGACTTTCATGATTTTTCACAACAAATCCCAAACAAATTCAATACCTAGGTGATACAAGTATTCACAACAGTTGTATTCTCTCTGCAGTACTTTGCTTCTAAACTGCTCCTTGATTCATCATAATTTCGTTTCCTCCACTAGGTGTGGTTTGCAGAGATCCTATAAGTAACATGCTTCATATGCATCATATGCATTTCACCATCATAAGCAGCCAGATACTGGCTAGAATTTCTTTTTTCTTCACTTATAACTGAGGAGAGTATCTACAAGGTTGGGGAAGATAATGGTGCCTTACCAAAATGTCTGCTGTTTCTTTTCCTTAGAACACTTTCTTACCATTTTAGGAAGTCCCACAAAACATCTGTGTTTCATCTCTAGTTTACTACATTCTAATGATACAGCTTTTCAGGACCCAATATTGATATTATCTTCAGCATGCCAGTTGAGCTATGTGTCCTTATTGTTCTCTGGTTGAAAAATAGTGTTAGCAAACAAGATGGTAATACAGCATTTTATTATAGCTACTGTGAACCCGAAAGTATCTGAGACAGGTCTCAGTCAATTTAGAAAGTTTATTTTGTGAAGGTAAGGACACATCCATGACCCAGCCTCAGGAAATTCTGACAACATGTGCCCAAGGTGGTTGGCATACAGCATGCTTTTATACATTCTAATGGTACATAATACATCAATCAATACATGTCAGAGTTACATTGGTTCAACCTCGAAAGCCAAAACAACTCGAAGTGGGGGCGGGGAGCTTCCCAGTCACAGGTATATTTAAAAATTTTCTGACTGGCAATTGCTTAAAAGAGTTATTATCAATAGAAAGGAATATTTGGGTTAAGATAAGGGGTTGTGGAGAACAAGGTCTTATCATACAGATGAAGCCTCCAAGTAGCAGGCTTCAGAGAGAATAGATAGTAAGTGTTTCTTATCAGAATTAAGGTCTGTCTTGATGTTAATGCTGGAGGAGTATAATGAGGCATGTCTGAACCCCTCTTCCATCATGGTCTGAACTAGTTTTTTAATGATAACTCTGGAATACTCTTGGCTGAGAGGGGGGGTCCATTCACATGGTTGAAGTGCCTCGGAATTTAGTTTTTGGTTTACACTACTTATTTACCTAGATTTCTGTTAATAATACATGTAAGTACCCCTAAAATGTTCATTTATAAAGGTGAATTATTTTATAATGAGGAGGCAAACCATAGATTGGGAAAAAATATTTGCAAAAGGCACATCTGATAAAGAACAGTTATCTAAAATATACAAAGAATTCTAAAAATTTACCAGTAAGAAAATGAACAACTGGATTAAAAATTGAAGAAGAGACCTGAACGGATATCCCTCATCAAAGAAGATATATAGATGGAAGTAAGCATATCAACTATCAATATCATATGTAACTAGAAAATTGCAAATTAAAACAATGAAAAATCACTACTGATTTCTGGTTATATCTGTCAAAATGACCAAAATCCAAAAGACTGACAATACCAAATACAGGAGAGGATGTGTAGTAACAAGAACTCTCATTCATCACTATGAGAATGCAAAACAGTACATCCACTTTGCAAGAAAGTTTAGCAGCTTCTTACAAAACTAAATATATTCTTATTATACAATGTAACAATTAAACTCTTTGGTATTTAACAAAATGAATTAAAAACATGTCCACACAAAAACCTGCACATGAATATTCACAGCAGCTTTAATCATAATTGCAAAAACTTGGGAGCAAAGAAGGTGTTTTTCACTAGGTAAATGGATACATAAAATATGGTACATCCAGACAATAGATACTATCCTGCACTAAAAGGAAGGGAGAAACTTAAATGCACATTACTAGTGTTACGGTTAATTTTGTGTCAACTTGACTGAGCCAAGGGATGCCCAAATAGTTGTTTAAACATTACTTCTGTGTGTATCTATAAGGATGTTTCTGAAAGATATTAACATTTGGATTGGTGGACTGAGTAAGCAGATGGCTCTCGCCAATGTAGGTGGGCATCATCCAATCCATTGAGGGCCTAAATAGAACAAAAAGGCAGTAGAGACAGATTGAATTCACTCTTTGCTTGACTGCATGAGCTAAAACACTGATCTCCTGCCCTCAGTGCCCCTGCTTCTCACAGCCTCATTTTCCACATCAGATGCCTTGAATCTGATGCTCCAGCAACACCAAGCTACTCACACTTCTCTGGACACACCATGCTGGCTTACCTCACTGCCTTTGCTCATGCTCTTGTCATTCTCTTGTTTCATTTAATTTTCATCCCTTTATTATTCAAAATGCATCTCAGAAACTCTCCTCATCCATAGCCTGCCAATTCCACTCAGAATGGAATTGTGCCCTTTATTTGGGCACCACTAGAACCTGCATGACTTTTTTTATCCATACATTCATTAAACGAATGAATAAATGACATCATTACCACAAATAAAGTGATGGCTTATCATTTCTATCAGATAAACGAAAGAATTATCAAAAAAAAACTTACTGGTTCACTTTTAATGAGATGGAAGAGTGTTCACCAGAGATCTCACAGTGTTTATGTGTCACAGTGATAGTTTTTGTTATTATTCCTAATCTAATTTTATGTACAAATCATGGAATAATGGATTTAAAGGAAGGTAGCAAGTGAATTTTTACAAATTTATTTTACACTAACATCAACTTTTTAAAGAGGAAGAAAGATCTTGCAGTATCAATTATTGTAGCTGAAGGTGTCTGCCTATTTAGACAATCTTTGAAAATCTACTCAATTTGCAGAAAGGAAAATAGTGATTACTGACAAGTCTGCCATGCAAACCATAGCTAGAGGAAGCAATGCCCCAGGGGTCATCTGATCATAAATCTGGAATTAAAAATAAATTGTTATGTTGTGATCCTTATGTTGATTTAGATCTTTGTTCAAAAGTATACTTCTTAATTTTTAAATTTCTAGTAGATTAAACTAGTCAGCATCATTCACTTAATACATATTCTAACACTTCTTTATATTCTCCCTGCGCTCTATTTATTGGTGACCTTTGGGTCCAGTCACTCTTATAGCTGGGGGTCATGCCCACTTTAAAATGTATTTTTTTTTTAGTTCAATGATTTACCAGTACTTGTGTTCCTGCCATTGTATACCTGGTATATACCTTTAGTTTCTCCAGATCCCTGAGCTAATATCCCTTGTATTAGACCATTCTTGCATTGCTATAAAGACTGAGAGTCAGTAATTATTTAAAAACAGGTTTAATTGGCTCATGGCTCTGCAGGCCATACCAGCATTTGCTCAGCTTCTGATGAGGGCTTCACAAAGCTTATAATCATGGCAGAAAGCAAACGGGGAGCAGGCACACCACATGGCAAAAGGAGAAGCAAGAAAGAGAGAGTGGCTGGGAGGTGCCACACACTTTAAAATTATCAGATCTCATATGAACTCAGCACAAGAGCTCACTTATCACCAAGGGGATGGCCCACGGCATTCAAGAGGAATCCACCACCATCCTGCAAATACCTCCCACCAGTCCCCACCTCTAACACCAGGAATCACATTTCAACAGGAGATTTGGGTGGGGACAAATATCCAAATTATATCATTCTGCCGCTGACAGTCACCCCAACCAATCTCATGTCCTTCTCACATTTCAAAATACAATCATGTCTTCCTAATAATCCCCCAGAGTCTTAACTCATTCCAGCATTAACTCAGAAGTTTATAGACCAAAGTCTCATCTCACAAGGCAAGTCCCTTCCACCTATAAGCTTGTGTATTAGCCTGTTTGCATGCTACTGATAAAGACATACTCAAGACTGGGAAATTTACAAAAGAAAGAGGTTTAATTGGACTTACAGTTCCAAGTAGCTGGGGAAGCATCACAATCATGGCAGAAGGCAAGCAGGTGCAAGTCATGTCTTACTTGGATGACAGCAAGCAAAAAGAGCTTGTGCAGGAAAACTCTCTCTTATAATAACCATCAAATCTTGTGAGACTTACTCATTATCACAAGAACCACATGGGAAAGACCTGCGCCCATGATTCAATTACCTCCCACTGGGTCCCTCCCACAACACATGGGAATTCAAGTTGAGGTCTGGATGGGGACCCAGCCAAACCATATCAGCCTGAAAATTTACAAAAAAAAAAAAAGTTATTTAGTTCCAAGATACAATGGGTGTACAGGCATTGGGTAAACAATCCTGTTCCAAAAGGGAGAAATCAGCCAAAAGAAACTGACTACAGGCCACATGCAAGTTCACAACCCAACAGGGCAGACATTAAATCTTAAATCTCCAAAATAACCTCTTTTGACTCCATGTCCCACATCCAGGGCACAGTGGTACAAGGAGTGAGCTTCCAAGGCCTTCGTCAGCTTTGCCTCTGTGGCTTTGTAGCATTCATTGCTCAAAACTACTCTCTCAGGTTATTGAGTGCCTGTGGCTTTTCCAGGTGCAGGGTAAAAGCTACCAGTGGATCTACTATTCTGGGGTCTGGAGGATGGTGGCTCCCTTCTCACAGCTTCATTAGGCAGTCCCCTGGTGGGGACTTTGTGTAGGGGTTCCACACCACATTGCCCCTCCACACTGCCCTAGCAGAAGTTCTCTCTGAAGGCTCCTCCCCTGCAATGGGCTTCTACCCGGACACCCAAGCAAGGGTGTATAAGAAATCTTATACACCTTCTGAAATCTAGGCAGAGGCTGCCAAGCTTTCTTTATTCTTGCATTCTGTGCACCTATGTGCTTACCACCACATGGAAGCTGCCAAGACTTGTGACTTACATTCTCCAAAATGAAAGCCTAAGTTGTACCTGGGCCCCTTTGAGCCACGGCAGGAGCTAGAGCAGCCTGGATGCTGGGAGCAGTGTCTTGAGGCTGCTTAGGGCAGCAGGGCCCTGGCCCTCAAAATAATTCAGTCCTCCTGGGCCCCTGGACCTGTTACAGGAGGATATGCTGCGAAGGTCTTGGAAATGCCATTGAAGCCTTTTCCCCATTGTCTTAGTTATTAGCACTTGGCTCCTTTTTAGTTATGCAAATATCTCTAGCAAGTGGTTACTTCACATCCTTCTTGAATTCCTGTGCCAAATAAAAACGTTTTCTTTCTCTGCCACATAGCCAGGCTGCAAATTTGCCATTTTATGCTCTGCTACCCTTTTAAAATCAGTTCCAACATTAAGTTATTCCTTTGCCCCCACATCTGAGCATAGGCTGTCAGAAGCAGCCAGGAAAATTTTTGAACACTTTGGTGCTTAGAAATTTCTTCTACTAGATACCCTAAGTCATCAATCCAAAGTTCAAACTTCCACAGATCCCTAGGGCATGAGCAACATGCAGCCAAGTTCTTTGCTAAGGCCTAACAAAAGTGACTTTTGCTCCATTTCCCAAAACTTCCTCATTTCCATCTGAGACCTCACTGGCCTGGATTTTACTGTCCATATCTCTGTCATCATTGTGCTCACAATCATTTAACCAGTCTGTAAGAAGTTGCAAACTTTACCTCATTTTCCTACCTTCTTCTGAGTTCTCCACACTCTTCCAACCTCTGCCCATTACCCAGCTCCAAAACCGCTCCCACATTTTCAGGTATATTTATTTATACCAATACATCATTCCTGGTACCAATTTCCTGTATTAGGCTGTTCTTGCATTGCTATAAAGAAATACCTGAGACTGGGTAATTTATAAGAAAAGAAGTGTAATTGGCTCACGGTTCTGCAGGCTGTACAAGCATGGCACCAGCATCTGCTCGGCTTCTGATGAGGGCTTCACAAAAGTTACAATAACGGTGGAAGGCAAAGGGAGAACAGGCACATCATATGGCAAAAGTGGGAGCAAGAGAGAGTGGGAGGAAAGTGTCACACCTTCTAAATGATCAGATCTCATTTGAATTCAGAGGAAGAGCTTACTTATCACCATAGGGATGGCCCAACTCACTCATGAGGGATCTGCCCCTCGATGCAAACACCTCCCACTAGGCCTCACCTTCAACACTTGGAGTTACATTTTAACATGACAGTTAGGTGGAGACAAATATTCAAACTATATTATCCCTGCTCCTGATACTTTGGCTTTGAACCTAAGCAAGTTGCTTGGCATAAATGACTGTGAATAGCTACATTCTTAGTTCCAACCTCATCCCATTCTCCCTTTCCACTAAAAATGATTTCTCTGTCCCTGCCCTAAGTCTCAAACTTACATAACTTGTCTTTCTGTTCTTAGATTAGAAACCCCAACATGGACATCTTCTGGGACCTCCAGCAGAAACTTGTTTAAATTCTAAATCAAAGTAATATGCAGTCCAGCCCATTCTGTCACTTTGTAAGTCTGGTATTACTTTAAAAAGTGTGACTGAGAATCACTTACATATTTTACTTGGAAGTTTAAGTGACAGGTCTCAGATATCAAAGAGACATCCTAATGGCATCTCACCCTAACTCCAGACAGCTAATATCTGAACTCCCAAACATGGTCAATATTAGTGAATACTCTGGGCACTTATATGGTGGCAGAATATCAAACTGTAATTCAGTCATACTGCCAACTAGTGGCAAAAGATAAATAAATTAAATGGGAATGAATGTCATATCATAGATCTGCAACACTTCAATGAGTGGCACTTTTCTAGCAAAGTTTTTGCTTAGATTCTAAAACACCTGAATTTTTATACTCAGATCTCCAAAAATTAGGTCTCACTTTATCTCCTTATTAGTTAGCAGTAGAAAGTTATCAAAATGATTCTCTTAGGCTTCTAACTCTCTTCCAAACCTGCTTTTAGTCTCCAATTTTATCTATACATGAAACATCAGTGATTCTTCCTTCCTTTGACACTCTCATAAAGTAGAAAACAAACTATTAGATTACGGTAATATACATGTAAATATAACACATACTTTAAAAGTTCATAAAAGTACATAAAGCTTATACATAAAAGTACATTAAAACAAGTTCAGACTGACTACCATCTCAGATAAGTATAGCCTTACAAAGGAAGAAAGTCAATCTTGAAAAAATAATACAGCCAAAGAGATACAAGGGTTTTCCAATAAGAGAGGGAGGCAAGGTCAAAAGTGCATGCAGTAGATAAATGCTTTCCTCCCTAAAATGTAAATTTTAACTTTGCAAGAAAAATATAACAGGGAATGAAGAGTATGGGAGAGAGGAAAGTAAGCACAGAGGTGAAAGGATAGAGAAGCAAATCTGACATCAATTTGTTAATCCTCTTTATTCCACACAAATTATGTTCTTAAATACACTGATAAGTCATGTAAACCTATAACAACTGTGAATTTGTTCAATTAATCTTTAATACTTTCAAAAGTTTGCCTTGATTACTAAGTTTAGTTGGTCCTGCTTATATCTAGGCTGAAAAATTATTTAGTTCTCATTAATGGTCTTATCAACTATTTATTTGGTTGAATCTTCCTTTCTGTATTCCAGTGGGAAAAAATTAAAATTCAGAGTGATAATGAACTGCTATTTTTTCCTCAGTAATAAAGAAAGTTGAAGTACCTGAGGTGTTATTTCAACAATGTTTACCAATTTTGTTTACATATCAAGTAGAACAACAGCCAAGCTTACTAGTGATTACTGCTTTAATGAATTATTTTGATTGCTTATTTCAGAAAGGCTACTTGTTTCACATAAAATCCTTCTCAGTTATTAAAATACTGATTTAAATTTTTTAACAAAGATTTGTGAATTTTCCTTAAATCATCCTGTTTTCTAATAGTATATGTTTATCTAACAGAGAAATATCTGCATTGTCTCCGTGTAATTATTTGAACTACTTAAGTATATTTGAAATGACTGTCTTCTAGTTAAATTACATATTCTATAATTTTAACTAAAAAACAGCTGTGAGAACAGTACCTATCCTTTGTTTTCCTTCAAAAAATGAGTAACTCTTTATTTGTTTAGAAATTGCTTAAAAGTTATTGTTACTATTGAGAAATATAGTCTGTATTCTCAGAATTAAGCAACATCCATAACAAACAGTCAAATGTCATAATCAGTTCAGCACGCATTTGTAAATGTAGAACCCTATAAACAACAAAAAGTATTTTTAAAAATAACATTTTTTTCTTAAATAAAAGGCGTTCTTCTGACTATGGGTGTTTATCTTAAGAAATTTAAGAGACTAAACAAAAGTGGACACATCACCTATCATCTCACCCCCAGCACTATCATTTTTAGTATTTTGTTTGCTACATTTCATTCCATTTATTTATAGGCATAGATATAGATATATATATATGCACATATAGTCAATCTTACAATCTTATCTTACAAATAAAATTGAAGTTAGGTTCAAGATAAACTTTTATGTTCTGTTAGTTTTTTTGTCTGTTGCCTTGTCCATTTGTATTAAATGGACTGTAGCTGTATCAAGAATAGGATTTTCATGCTTAGAGGAAGACCACCACCAACCCCAGGGTGTCAAGAATGAGCCTTGAACACTGAAACACTGAGAGGCCTGTCATGCTCCTCAGACCTATCAGCCTCCATCTGCCAAGTCAACAGAGAATCGAGATTATCAAAATAGCACTAACTCTACTTTGTCTTTTATGCTTCCTCTGAAGAGTGGAAAAGGGTCCACATTTACCCTTCCCTACTGCTCCTTCCTTCCTCATGGTTTTGCCATGAATGTTTGTCTTAAGACTACCAGTACTAATGCCATCATGCCATTTTTTCTTGTTTGTTTGCCTCTGAAGAAGACTCTCAGATTACCCTCAGTCTCCTACCTTCTGCTCTCCATGTAGCTCTATACAACTCCTATCCTAGAACTGACTCTCACCACCCTCATTTCTAAAACCTCCCCACTATACCTTCTGGAACCCACCACACATCCACGGCAAAATTCTCAATACTCTTAATATGTTCTCTGAACATTTCTTACCCCTTATTCCTACAACGACAACCAAGATCTCCATTGAACAGACTGCTCTCTACAGCCCTCTCTAGTGGTAGCTGTTTCCCGCTCCCCCCCCCCCCACCCCACAGCCTTCCTAGCACAGGGACTGAAGATGGGGTAGGTATCATCTTTATCCTTCATTGTCATTTTCATGCTCTACTTTTGTCCTTAAAAATTCCTGGATATGTAGACTTTACATCCTTGTTAGAGTTATCTATTGACCCCCTCATTTGCGGACAGTCTTAACATTCTCTAACTCTATTTGCTATCTTCATTTGTGGTGATTTTAATATTCACATAGGTGATGCTTCCAATACCCTAGTCTTTTGATTCCTTTTGAAAGATCTTATACTTCGTGACATATAAACCACTCACTCTCCTAGTCATACCTTTGCATTTGTTACTGATCACTACAACCTTCTAAAATCTCAGTTTCAAGAATCCCACTCTTTGAGGCTGGGTGCGATGGCTCATGCCTGTAATCCCAGCGCTTTGGGAAGCCACAGCAGATGGATCACTTGAGGTCAGGAGTTCAAGACCAGTCTGGCCAACACGGTGAATCCCTTCTCTACTAAAAATACAAAAATGAGCCAGGCTTGGTGGTGCGCACCTCTAGCCCCGGCTACTTGGAAGGCTGAGGCAGGAGAATCGCTTGAACCAGGGAGATGGAGGTTGCAGTGAGCCAAGATTGTGCCATTGCACTCCAGCCTGGGTGACAAAGTGTGACTGTCTTTAAAAAAAAAGAATCCCACTGTTTGAATGTTACTTCCTAAATTTCCAACTCTTTATCTCCATTATCCCAACACTTTGATTCCACCAGGATCTACAATGCATTATTTCTGCCTCATTTGCACTGTCTCTCACTCAGCTCAAGCTTTTTATTATTACTTTACCCAGATATTTCCACTACGAAATCCTAATAAACAAAGACGATTATTTTTATTTTTTATTTTTATTTTTTCCACTGTGTAATTCCTTTATTTTCGGCATATTAGTGCTTTACCAACACTACAACCATAAAGAACACAATTCCAAGTACTGTAATTTTTAGTTTGGGGAGATCACAGTCTACAGACTCATTTACTTATATTAAACAAGATTAACCTCATTCAAAACTTACTGCAGTTTATAAATTCACATAAATACAAAAACTGATGCAATTAAACAACTTCAGGATCTTATTTTTTCAATTCTTAGATTATAACTTTTCTGCAGGCTATAATTACGTTCCATAGTCATCAATGGTTATTGTTCAATTTAACTGCATCAATTATAAACCTCTTACATCCTTAAAGAAAATTTAAGTGAAAATTACAATTTCTTACCAAAAGGTTTAGGGTTTTCCAGATCTCAAATATTTGCTTCCCCCTCCCCACTTTCCAGTCCAATATTTCAAATAAACTAAAAATAACCACATCTGACCTGCAACATTCAATAAGAGCAATCACTTGATGTACAAAATTTTAACTATGCCCCCATTTATTTTAAGAACGCAAAAAAATGGCTGCCTACCAATCTGTCTTCACAAGTTAGAAATACCACATTGAAGATTTAACATGAGAGTTTCAAGTTTCCTCCAGTTTAGGCATTTATACCTTTGTGCTTGTTTTGTTTCAGGATGTTACTATAGCATTGATATTTGGATAACCCATATTGATATACCTTAAATTAACAATTCTGTGCTTACACTCTCAGATTTCTTGACTCTTAGTGTATGATGTGTATTTATTGAAACCTCAACACTCTGCCTATTCTGCACTCACTTGTGCAACTGACTGTGGTTCAAGAAAAATGCACAACTGTACCAGTCGATCTCATTTTAAATACATTACTACAAATATCAAGAGGTCTTCTCTTGCTTCTTGGAAATCAGAACACATTTCTGTAGCTCATTCATTCTTGATTCTCCTAGATACTCCTGACTCTTCTAAGTACTCCTTCTCCATCTTCATTCTCAGAACAACATTGTTTTTCATTGAGAAAGTTAAGTGAGTAGAAGACAGCTTCTGCAAGACACCAAATCTATCTGCCCTCCCTCATGTTATAATTAAATATCACTGTTTAAGCCCAACCATCCACTTTCACACTATATTGCATACTCTTGTCTACCCAAGGACATTGCTCCAAGGATGTTCCCTCTCCTGATTATTAAATTTTCCCTCTCCAGATCAACCAATCAACTAATATGCATGTTGCTTTTATCTCTTCTTTTTTAAAAAATAAAAATTATCAGGCTGGGTGTGGTGGCTCATGCCTGTAATCCCAGCACTGTGGGAGCCTGAGGGGGGCGGATCACGAGGACAGGAATTCAAGACCTGCCTGGCCAATATGGTGAAACCCCATCTCTATTAAAAATACAAAAATTAGCCAGGCATGGTGATCGCGCCTGTAATCCCAGCTACTCCAGAGGCTGAGGCAGGAGAATCGCTTAAACCTGAGAGGTGGAGTTGCAGTGAGCCGAGATCGCACTACTGCAGTCCAGCCTGGGCGACACAGCAAGATTCCGTCTCAGAAAAAATAAATAAATAAATAAAAATTATCCTAATCAATTTTCCTCTTGCTATTGCTTCATTTATCTTCTTCTCTTTACAGTAAAACATCTCAATAAAAAGAATAAAATATCTAGGAATACAATTAGCCAGGGAGGTGAAAGATCCCTATGATGAGAATTATAAAATATTGCTCAAAAACATCAGATATGACACAAACAAATGGAAAAACATTCCATGCTCATGGATAGGAAGACTCAGTATAGCTAAAATGGCCATATGCCCAAAGCAATTTACAGATTCAATGCCATTCTTATCAAACTACCAATGGCATTCTGCACAGAACTAGAAAAGAACTATTTTAAAATTCATATGGAACTAAAAAAGAGCCTGAATAGCCAAGGTAATCCTAAGCAAAAATAACAAAACTTGAGGCATCATGTTACCTGGCTTCAAACTATACTACAGAGCTACAGTAACCAAAACAGCATGGTCCTGGTGATAAAACAAAAACATAGACCAATGGAACAGAATAGAAAGCCCAGAAAGAAGACCACACACCTACAACCATCTGATCTTCAACAAATCTAACAGAAACAAGCAATAGAGAAAGGACTCCCTATTCAATAAGTGGTGCTGAGATAACTGGCTAGCCATGTGCAGAAGACTGAAACTGGACCTCTCCCTTACACCAGATATAAAAGTCAACTCAAGATGGATCAAATATTTAAGTGCAAAACCCAAAACTATAAAAACCCTGGAAGACAACCTAGGCAATGCCATTTTAGACATAGAAAGGGGCAAAGATTTCACGATGAAGATGCCAAAAGCAACTGCAACAAAAGTAAAAATTGACAAATGAGATCTAATAAAACTAAAGGGCTTCTGCACAGCAAAAGAAACTATCAGCAGAGTAAACACACAACCTACAGAATGGGGGAAAATAGTAGCAAACTATGCATCTGACAAAGGTCTGATATTCAGCATCTATAAGGAACTTAAATTTACAAGAGAAAAAACAAGCCCATTAAAAAATGGGCAAAGGACATGAACAGACACTTCTCAAAAGAAGCCAAACGATTTTAAAATCTAACCTTTAATTTGTTTTCTTGATATTTTATTAAGATATTCATATCCAGGATGTAAAGCGGATTTAGTCTATAATTTATATTTCTGTGCCCTGTCAAACTTTGATATGAGGATCATGCTAGCTTCATAGATAAAATGGAAAGCTCTTTTTTTTCCTCTCCAAGATCTGGATAAGATCATATAGTTTAAGAATTATGTTTCTTTAATCATTTGAAAGAGTTTGCCTATTAAAACACTAGTTTCCAGAGACATTTTTGTGGGTAACTTTTATAGGTCTGTTTCATTTGGTTTTCACTGACTTTATTGTATGTTTATTTGTTTGTTCTGCTGGCCCTTGCTCATGGTTTCATGCATTTTATGTGTTTTGTATTTTTGGCTATGATATTGTGTTCTTTAGAACTCAAGCAATAAGTAGAACTTCTTAGAGGCCTGCTTTGGAAATACAATTTTCCAGAAAGAACTGTGTGTTTCTGCCAACTACTGTGGCCACTACCAATCCAGAGTCACTTTAAATTGAATTCTTTGATCAGGTATTATTTCAGACCACACTAGTGGTGTGAGTTCAGTCCTCACACTAGTGTGAGTGTAGGCTTTGTGTTTATAAGCTTTCAAGAGTGATTTTTGTTTTACTTCCACCCAACACAAGCTTAGTACATCAGGTTTCCTACAAGCTCATTCTTATTCTGGAGTCTCCTGTATAGTTTCTTAATTTGGATAAGAAGCCATCAAAACAGAAGCTCAGATTCCACTAGAATTTAATAAACATACTTAAAGCAAAAGCTGGCAATAGTTCAGTTAACATAAATTATGCCAAACTTTGCCATAGCATCTCCTTTTTCGTTTTGTTTTCACAACTGACATCAGCTTTTATATTACCTTAAGTATTTGTATTTTAATGAGAATTTGGTAGACAGCAAGCATATTCATTATGGCACATTTGCCAAAATGCTAATCTACTCTGCAGGTATTTATTCCCATATGTTCAATCCATGCCATGGCTCAGTTTTGGTTTTCTTTTAAACTCACACATTGTTGAAATCAGCCAGAATAGACACACTCTGACTCAAGGGTCCCCAACACCACCTACATATTTGGTGATTCACTGGAAGGACTCACAGGGCTCAGGCACATAGTTCCACTAAACACTAATATTTCTTATATAGACATAGTAAAGATTAAGAGCTGGGTTAGACAGGGAAAACAACATCAGGTAAAGACAAGGAAGAATCCATGGAAAGTTTCCTATCACCTTTCCCCAACCTGACAGCTCACACAGAGCACACTGTCCCTCTAGAAAACAAACAAACAAAAAAAATATAGCATCAAGTGTGAATTTTTCTGCCAACTGAAGCCCATTTAAAACTCAGAGTTTAGGAGTTTTACTAGGGGCTGGGAACATAGACGCTTTTGCCTAGCAACTACCAGAATTCCAGACTTACAAAAAGAAAGCAGACATTACAATAAATTCCACTGTTTATACGAATGTCTAGGCCCAGAGAAATTACCTTACCAGTTAAGGGAGTGCTTCAGAAGCCAAGTTCCCAGGTATCAGTCAGTGGTCAAATCTTGCAAATGAGCTTTCTAAAGAGAGGAGCCTCAGATGGTCTAGGTGAATGTTTCTGCACGTAACACCCCTCCCCCCACCAAATGCTTTTGACACTCTAATCTATTGATTGTTTACTGTTACCAACAAATAATTAATAAGAATCCAGTATAATTGGTTTGTGACTACAAAAACCAATTTATGATTCAAATACATGTTTAAGTAAGCCTGTTTTGATTTAGCTAACAAAACCAAATTGTATAAATCACTTATCTCCTCCAATAATTACTATTTTCATTTCTGCAATAAAATACTGAGAAATTCAACTTACTATTTTCAAGTTCTACATTCTATTTGACTATGATTTTGAGTAAACATTTAATTCTTTTTAATCAAGTTGCTACATTAGGAGAGCTGGTACATTTTAAATTAAGCAATATTACTGTAAGTTACCTGAAGGAAAAAAAAATATGTAACGGATATATTTGAAAAGGAAAAACAAAACTGACTCATGGCAGAATCCATTTTGTAATAGTTCTAAACCCTGATATTCACAAATGTGAGTGTAGGTTAATAACTGCTCTTTATTCATCAAATGTTTTGTCTATGCATGTTTTGTTAAAGGAGCAATTATCTATTCAGAGTTCTAACAGAGATCTGGAAAACTGCTTGCCTGAAAGAGCAAAATTGGTCTTACGTGACTTCAGATATATCATGATATAATAGACATACTGCAATAATGACACACAGACACTCAACTATGGAACTGATGATATTTTAAGATTCCTCATAGAAACTGAGTACAAATAGAGACAGATAATCACAATCTGAATTAATTTTATTACAATTAAATCTGTTGTAAAATTAGTAAAAGAAAATCTCCTACTGAATGCAAAGAGAATCAAGGTCATCTGAGGTGATACATTTCTGCAGACAACCAGGAGTGAGTCTATTTTCTCCTTCCTCTCACACACATCGTGCTTTGGCTGTGGGGTAATTCATGAAAGGAGAAAACAAGTACAGAATTTCATAGTGAAATAAGATTTTCTCTTTCAATCGTGAAATTATAATTGGCCAATTGCTGGCAGCTGCCTTTAGAATTTGTGTTTTCCAAATGTTAATAGGCCTCAAGTTAGCAGTAAATGTGAACACTAAATGGAAATCCTTTGTTTTCTTTTGTTTTATTAGGGCACAAATAGAATCCTTGCTTTTATGGTTTATTCTTGTCATTTGCCAAACTAAAAGACTATGCCATACATTATACCATAAGCAATCTTCTACTAAATAGTCTTTAAACTACTCAGTTCATGATTATTTCAAATATCAAAAGCCAGTTCTTGTAAAATGTGGAGTTTCATCAAAAAGACAATATTATTTAAAACATGTATTTCCAGTATGTTTATTTTATTTGATATTCATTTTTTCTAGAAATCTGTATATCTATATATAGATATACAGATATACACATATACAGATCTATATAGCTATATATATATATATACACGATAGATAGATAGATGCCTGCATTACAGCCATTCCAAAGCACAGGCAGCAAAAAATCTACTATATTTATATATTTTTAATGTAGAGATTATTTTCATAATTGGAGCCAGGATGTAATTATTTTTTCCTAAGCCTTTCTCCAGTATTGGCTAAACTAGCATCATAAAATATTACTTCGACCATAACAAGCCACTCCAAAAAAGTCCTATTTGTTACAATAAAAACATTCATTTATAAAACAAAAATAAAATCACTTACTTAAAAACTTAAAAAGAGAACTTCATAAGGGACATCCCCCATATTTAAAATTATCATGACATTGCATTTATGGTCAGAATGAAAGCATAATGTAGAAATTAAATTAGGTTTCCTTTTTGAATTAACATCCCAATTTCTTCCTGGATTGGTTAACTGCATTTGTCACCATGGACACTTTCTTCACTATTCAGAATTTTCAACTGTATTTAAAACAGATCACATTCATTTCCTCTGCATCAATATACTAACTAGTCAATGGAAATCGAAACACAACCAAAATAGATACTTTATACTGCTGCCAAGAGGAGAGGGTTCAAAGCAGAGGTGTAATTAAAAGTATGACTAAGCAGATAGAATCACATTAAAGAGGCTTCTCACAAGACAGAAAAAAATTTGGAAAAAAGAAGCAAGTGCCCCCCTAAATATGATATTGCCATCTCTGCCTGAATCATTTGAGCACAAGAATCTCAGCTTTCTGGTACAGGCCCCAGTTGCTATAGAAACTTACAACTGGGAGCTAAATAAAGTAATTTCTATGCTAGTGTTGGTGTCTATAACTTCAGCACCTGATGCTAACCAAATTGTGCTCAATAAACAAATTTAAACTTTAAAAGCCTGCAATGTGATCACAATGCTTTCTATACAACTGATTAATCTCAACTGATCTTGGCTCAGAGCACAAGAACATAAGAAATCTCAGAAACAGAAAAAGACTACTTAAGGCAAATACGCCTGCATCCTTTGTTTTTCTTATCTGATTTCCTAGTTTATCCCCATATCTCTATCCTGTCTTAGTCTGAAAATAAAAAGTCAGCTAGCTCACTCCCTAACTCATCAATAATCCTGCTTTCACTGATCCCTTTTAGACAATTTATTCTATATTAAACCACTCCCTCTTGGCCTCCCCTTTTTCATTTATCCTACTCTAAACCTAAAGAACAAAGAGATCAGGCAGCTCAATAGATACTTATTTCTTAATCCTCCCAGCTGGGCCTATTATTGCTGCACATTTGATTTTAAGATTATTCACTATTTGGCAAGAAATCAAGAATCTGAAATAGCCCCTTGATGCCCGTTTGTGTGGGCATGTCAGGCCCTTGCCCATTATGTCACCAAGCAGTGTTTTTGGCTGTGGTAATGCTCTCTTATTAAGCGAAATGAGACCACAGGGCCTAAATATATGTTTGCATTCTTCCCCAGCATCACTTTAGAAAGGATATACTATATAAGCCCTTTGTTCTTCTCCAGTGGGCCCAGGCATTTCAGGTCAATGTCACTGTGAGAATTTAAAGTATGAAAAAAATCATCTGAATATATTACCTCATTAAAGCACATGAATACCATTGTCATAAGCACCAAACACAAATACATATATTAGCAAATTTGTTTCTTCTTATCAGAGATTTGTAGTGATAAGCATTTGAGGCTGCATATTTTTTTCTGTTAAAATATTGTATTTATTTCACATTTGTTAAAGCTCTTTGGCCCCCATTCCAGTGTACACTCCAGAGGCTTAGATGAGTCTATGACCTGTGATATCAAAGCCCAAATCAGTTCAGGGCAGAGTATTTGACAATAACATGAAGAGTCTGTTGCCTAATTATGAAAAAAAGTAGGTCAGATCAAGCAATCAATTTTCTAATCATTTCTGATCTAATCATTTATATTTCTATCAATCACCTTTATTACATGTAGAAAAAGAAAAACTGAAAAAGAAAGAAAAAAGGAAAGGAAGAAAGAATGGAGGGAGGGAAGAAAGGTAAGCATAGTTCCTCCAAGTTCTGTAAAACTAAGTCTTTTAAAAAATGCTTTACTTTGAAATGAAGATGAAATTTTTATGAGGCAATATTTTCTTTTAATTATCAAGATGCTTTCAAACACCATGGGAGATTTTGAAACACTAAAATAGGAACTGATAATATGAGCTCACCATGCATTCATAAACCTTTCCCCCTGAGTTCTTCTGGATTCTAACTGCTACCTTGGCTTTAGCCCAATAAGCTTTTAAAAACAAAGAGGAAATACTGGGGGTTAAACCTAAGGACTGACCTGCTATTGCCACTCCGTGTTCAACCAAAATTCTCATTAGGAAACAACAGGGAATAGTTTTTAGCTGCAAAAAGGCACCCAAGAGAATAACAGAAATATATCAGGTTAACTGGTGGATACACGGCATTGCCTATATACCAAAACAAAAACATCCTGGGAGAGATCTGAGCTATGGCAGGAACAGAGTCAGCTAACAACTGTCAGCTGGGATTTTTGAATAGCATTTAAATCCACCAAGCACCATTTGGGAGCAGGTGACTTCCAAGGAGGATGGGGGAAATGAAATTATGCTAGCTATGGAAATAGAAAGAGAATGGAATTTGGTACCTCTCTCTGTCTCTCTTTTTTTGTGTTTGAGAGATTTTATTTGATTTTTCCAAGCATGCAAAACTTCAATTCTCACATATCTACATAGATATAAATAATAGGCTGTATCCACACACAGTGCACAGTACTTCATAGGCAATTTATAAATATGTATTCTTTACAGAAAGGAAGGGAAAAAGTAAGCAAATGAGGAAAGAAGGAGTGAAGAATCAACTCTGAATTAACACTCACAGAGAAAAAGAACTGAGAGAAGTGAGTTCAGATGGGGCTGAGGTTAGGCATTAGAATGCTTATATTTTAGCCTCAAGCTGTAAGTGGCAGCTGGCTGCATGGCCCTGGCCAGGTGGTCAGCCACCACTCACTAGGAGAATTTGGCATTCAAGTCAAGCAGCTGCAAAGTGAAAACAGCCCAGCAGCTTTGTAGGAACAGAGGTATGGGCCAGTTTCTGGTTCCAGGCTCCCAGCCAATCACGATAGGAGAGGGCTGAGGACACCTGCCCATGACCATAATGGAAAGCATACAACTAATTTATAACACAGAGCACCTAACAGGAAAGACCACAATCCAAGGTGTCAACAAGGCCCTCTGAGATACGAGTTCAGGGGATGGGGGATGGGATAATCATGTCTTAAGTGTGGCATGTTTTGGAGAAAAGATGATGATATGAGAACAAACAGGACCTTAGGAGCCATCTGCCCCCCTCAAATCTTTTAGTAGTAATGATTCAAGTAAAGTGCAGAATTACACAGTTAATTTGTGACACGGTGAACTTGTGAACAGGTCTGCTGATTCTTAGCCCAAAGCTCTTGCACAACAACTGGCTTAAAGCAAATTGCCATTTTACCACCCTTGCTTTGCTCAATAGCAATATTCAAAGCTTGTTCATAGGTGTACCAAAACTATTGAAATAATCTTTAATTTTCTCCTCCATTAAAATAATTTCAAGTGCTTTTCCTAAATAAACATGAAAAAATAAAAATTGCCCTAAATACAGTTTTCCTATTGTAGCATTCAAAGGACACTTATTTTGTAACTTTATACCAATTCAAAAAGGGCACAATTTAAAATGAATTACAGTGTATAGACTTTGTCCCTGCCTTCTGCATTATTTTCAAAAACAAGAGGCTCTAATTATGGTTATGGTACTGCAACACATTCTGGAAATTTAATCTTACAATTTCATTAGCCACAAATTTTTTCACCCCTTTAGGTCTGTATTATAATATTTTATTTATCTAAATCTAGGGGGGTTGGCAAGGGTTATTTGGCATTTCGTAGTAAATCTTTTAAATTCTCATTTGGATTGCAAGTGTTTGAAGGGCTGTATGCAATATACCTCATGCATAGGAAAACAAAGGTGCTAAAAGTGAATGAACAAGCCAGTGCCAGGATTAAAAGTGGAATCTAAAGTTTCTTATATGCATTCGTATACAGCATATTGTTTCTTAAATTCAGTGTCTGTATCTCTTCTTCATGTCTTAACAGAGATTTCTGCTTATTTGTGGAAGTAAACACAATTTTGAACATCATTCATAGCTGTTGTAGCATGGAGGACATGGTGCTGAATTTAGATTATTATAAGTTAATTACTTTGTCTTCTTTTACTTATTTTCCTGTCTTTCTGGGCATCATGCATAAAGAATGGTATATATAATAAGTAGTTAAAAACAATAATAAGACAACATCTGTGTATCCCCCACACGGCTTAAGAAATACAACTCTATTGATTCTTCTGGGTGTCTTTTCCCAAATCCCTCTCTCTCCATTCCGGAGGATTTGCTATGATATATCATTCTTTTGGTCTTCTTTATATTTTTACCAAATATATTTGTGTTCCTAAATAATATGTTGTTTCACTTTGCCTATTTTGAATTCCATATTAGCAGAATCATAGTCTTCTGTTAGAAGTTTTTATTCAACATCATAGTTTTAGGGGTTTGTTTCTTTTTAATTTTATATTAATTTATTTTTACTTGACAGTAACTAT
This sequence comes from Homo sapiens, assembly GCF_000001405.40. Lineage (NCBI taxonomy): Eukaryota > Metazoa > Chordata > Mammalia > Primates > Hominidae > Homo > Homo sapiens. The sequence goes on along the minus strand of NC_000003.12, from coordinate 81,999,359 downwards.
ATTTATGGAGTACAATGTGATGTTTTGATCTATGTATACATTGTAGGAAGATTCAATCAAGCTAATTAACGTAGGAAATGCAAATTAAAACTACAGTGAGATTTCATCTCATACCTGTTAGAATGGCTATTATCAAAAAGATGAAAATGGAACAGTGTTGGTTAGGATGTGGAGAAAAAGGAACCCTCAGACACTGTTGGTGAGAATGCAAATTAGTACAGCCATTTTGAAAAATAGGGTGGAGTTTCCTCAAAAGACTAAAAATAGAACTACCATATGATCCAGCAGTCACACTCCTGGGTATATATCCAAAGGAAATGAAACGAGTCTTTCAAAGAGATATCTCCTCTTCATCACTCATTTCAACATTATTCACAATAGCAAAGATACGGGCTACACATTTTTGAGGGTTATCTCTATTGACATGTATAGCTGTATTTTATTTATACTGACGTTTTATAGCATTCCATTAGACATACAGGCCACAATTTACCTGGCTATTCTCCTTACATTTGGGTACTTTCCACAAATTTTTCCTCTGTTAAAAACAAAGCAATTGTCTACATTCATGTTCATATCTCCTTGTACACAAGTTCAGTTTTTTCATCTCTCAATTGAGAATAAAAATAGCTACATTCAGGGCTCTTAATGATGCCAACATTCACATTCTTAATCCACAAAGTCATTATTTTTAACATTAAATGAGCATGTGTATAATAAGTACATAGAGCAGAACAAGGGCTGGTTTATATGACATGTTCCATAAGTCTTTCTTCACTCTCTGTTAAGGATGAAGAGATGACTTCATTCCTTCATAGATGGAGTTGCTTTATGCACTTTGCTATGTGACTTATAGGTACAGAAACTTCTGACTCAATATTCAAGCCTGCTATTTGGCCTCTAATAAATGCAGATCTGTATGCTTTAATTATTACTACATGTCAAAGGGACAAAGAGACTCAGGAGAAACAGTGATATCATATGCTGCACGATGAGAGAGAAGCTGCTGCTGCTTCTTGCTTTCCCAGGATTTGTCAGCATTATCTTCCTGGATAGAGTCCAGCTGGCTCAAGCTGTATGAAGCAAAGGCAAAGTGCATTCTTTTGACCCAGATACAGCCTCTAGATATGGAAAATGCAGAACTGTCCTTTGTGGATCCCCTCGAATTCATGTCCTGGCTATCTGACCCAGTTGTCTGTCAGAAACACTGCCACTCTTGATGCTCATAGAAAATACTATATATTAGCCATCAATATTACTTTGATGCTGCACATCTTTAGATTCTTGCTCTGAGCAAGAAGCAAAACAGATATGCCAGGGAAAATGGTGATAGCATATCTTCTCAATAGTTTGAAAAAAAAGTCATGGCACATAGTTTTTTTGTGTGTTTGTCTGTTTGTTTGTTGTTTTTAAACCAGTCTTCTTCATTACAATTTTCTTTGGGGTAAAACTTCTGTCACAATTTCACTTTCTACCCGTCTTCTTCCCTTACTCACATCCCTTAAGGACTTTTCTCCAAAACAGTATCTAGAATCTTATAAATTGATGTCTGATTCCCAGCCTAATCAACTTTGGAGAAAGGGAAGGAAGAAAATCTTCCATAGGTGAAACAAACTAAAAAAAAAAAAAGTTCGAAATTCTGAATTTGTATTTTCTGTTACTAAAATAAGACTTTTCCTTCCTCTTCTTCTCTCCCCCTTTTTAATGCTATCTCCATTTGGTTAACATTCAATTATATATGACAGCTGGTATGAAAATTGAACTCTACTAAGTGTGGCTAATAAAAGAAGAGAGAGAGAGAGAGAGAGAGAGAGAGACAGAAAGAGACTGTGGAAGAGCCAACATATTTAGAAATCCTCTTTGAAAATTTCCTGAGCGTTGCATTCAGTTAGATTGCAATTCACTTTGGTTATTTGCTTTCCTAATTTTTCCAAAGAGATGGTGGGTAAGCATTTAAAAAGAGCATGCAACAACAAATATTTCTCTTCTGAGGCTGCTACCATGTGCTTTATACGTGAAAAGTAAATGGCAAAAGTGCATAAACATTTGATGTAGATAATATTGTGAAGCTGATGCTTTGGGGGAAAATTTCTTGAGATGTACAAAATATTATTATTCATGTAGCTAGTTTGGGGGAAGAAACCAGAAAAAGCAAACCACTTCATCTCTGAACATTGTGGCCAGTACCAAACTTCAGTATAGTGCGTGTGTTGGGGGCTGGGGGGACGCTGCTTCAATGACAATACTGTAGGCATAACAACAATAGAAGTATAAAGGAATGATAGAACAGAAGAGCCAATTAGCCTCAGGGTTGGCTTGACCCAGGAAGAGAAATCAGGTTTTGTAAAGCAATACAGAGAATGCCAAATCAAGGCACACATATTGCTTCTGAGCCATTTTCTCAGCACTAATTGCAGGCTTTATTACACAGTGTAGTATTATAAGTTAATGATGACTGGTGGCATACTGTGAGGAAAGGAGGCACTAGGGAACCAGACCAGAACTGACCAAGGCCACCCCTTACTTAAAACTAATAGGCTTAATGTAAAAGCCACACATCAACACTAGTGGGAGGAAAATTTTGCCAACTCAGAGGCAGATAATAAAAACTCAAGTGAGAATGAGGCTGACATTGACACTGTTCAGTCTCATCAAGTGGCTGATGAGGATGAGGACGCTACATCATTCCCTGAGGATAGAAATGAGCCAAATAATGACAACATGTGGGAAAGAGACAATTAAAAGAATTCAGAAAGCATGACAATTAGATCTGTGTCTGATGAGGGGAACAGTGCAAATGAACCACTTAACATAGCTAAGTCAATATACACCCAAAATATATTAGGTACAAACAATGTAAAATAGATGCCTAGTAGGCAGAGCATGGGACCAGGGAAATCTTCCATGACTATACATAGAGCAAGCATTTCTACAGCAAGCCATGAGCTAAGGATAGAAGGGGCTACAAAGACAAAAGTCTTTGTCTTTAAGGTGATTGACAGGACATCTAAATTCAGCACCATATCATCAGGCTATAGCCAGCAAATGGAAACCATGCTAGTTAGTTCAACAGAGAGGGTCTAAAGCAAGAAATGTTTAAAAAGTTATTGGAGCTGGGCGCCGTGGCTCATGCCTGTAATCCCAGCACTTCGGAGGAGGAGGCTGAGGCGGGCGGATCACCTGAGGTCAGAAGTTCAAGACCAGCCTGACCAACATGGTGAAATCCCGTCTCTAGAAGAACTACAAAAAATGAGCTGAGTGTGGTGGTGCATGCCTGTAGCCCCAGCTACTTGGGAGGCTGAGGCACAAGAATTGCTTGAACCAGGGAGACGGAGTTTGCAAGGAGCCGAGATTGTGTCATTGCACGCCAGCATGGACGACAGAGTGAGACTCTGTCTCAAAAAAAAAAAAAAAAAAAACCATCAGAAGACTCAACAATCAAAAAGGGAACATTGGACTGACACAATGATAGTAATCTTAGCATGTAAGGAACAAGGTAAGAAGTTGAATTTATCAGAACACTAGAAGAGAGGCCTTGAGAAGCTGTGATTCAGATCTCTTAGGAACAAGAGCCTCTGATTACTCTGCGGGTATCTCAAAAGCTCAAAAGAGGTACCTTGCTAAACTAGAGGAGAGTGTGCTACCAGAGTGTTACTAGTTTCTCCAAAGAAATGTTATGAGGCTGGTTGTCAGAATGTGGAAGAATACAAGAAACCGGAACCAATAGCTACTTCAGGATTAAGAGTGACTGCTGAGACCAGGCTGGCAGGAGCAGTAGACACCTGGAAGAAGCAAGTGCCTTCTCACTCCAACTACCTTTTATCCTCCTCTAGTGGCCTCTATTGGCAGAAACTAACAGGGAAATGGCTGGCAAAGGAGAAATATAGTTTGCAGAGCCCCGAGCATCACAGAACTGCAATACAATATAGTTAATAATTATCACCACAGGGAATGTAAATTAGTACAGCCATTATGGAAAACATTATGGAGGTTCCTCAAAAAAGTAAAAATAGAACTACTATATGATCCAACCATCCCATTTCTGGGCATATATCCGAAGGAAATGAAATCAGTAACTGGAAAAGGTACCTGCACTCTCTTATTCATTGTAGCATTATTCAGAATAGCCACGATATGAAATCAATCTAAGCTTTCATCAACAGATGAATGGATAGAGAAAACGTGGTATATGGTAGTCCCTCTTAGCCAAGAGAGACATGTTTCAAGACCCCCAGTGAATGCCTGAACTCTTGGATAGTACTGAACAGCGACTAAGCGGGAAAACGTGAGATTTCATCACACTGCTCAGAAACAACATGCAGATTAAAACTCAAATTGTTTATTTCTGGAATTCTCCATTTAATATGTTTGGACTATGGTTGGTTGCAGGTAAGTGAAACCATGAAACCATAGAAAGCAAAATCATGGATGAGGGGTATACATGCAATGGAATTCTATTTAGGAAGGAAATTGTGCTCATTTATGACAACATGTATGAACCCAGAATACTTTAGGTGAGATAAGTCAGACACAGAAAGATAATTCATGATCTCACTTATATGCAGAATCTAAAAATGCTAAACTTACAAAAACAGAAAACAGAATGGCGGCACCCAGGACTGGGGTAAGGGAGAGTGAAATAAATAAGAAAATATAATAAATATGACTGCAAACTATATCCTTCAACCTGAGGGCCACAGAAAATGAGAAGTATTTATTAGAGGCTAATAGTGCTATAATTTCAGTTTGTAGTCTTAGAAAAAGATGACATAGTTGATGCCCTCTTTATATGTTCATGAAGCAAAAAAATAATAATTAAAGCTTTTCTCAGTCTAAGTTTACCTATAACATGAAATAAACTCAACTGTTTGTCTTAGTAAGGTAGGGGGTAAGATAGTGAGTGTATCCTGAGTTTAGTTAATTCAAAAGTTTCATCATTTCTAAAAGTATCAATTAGTTCTTTCACCATACCTTTTACCAGAGATGTTAATGAGAAGCAAAATGGATCGTTAATGGACTGAGAAATATTCAAATATATGGAGAAGTGAGAAAATAAAAACAATGTGAATAGCCTAGAACTGGATAATTGGCCTCTGAATAATTAATTCTATGAAAGTTATCTTCCCTAGGAATCCCTATTTTTACAGCAATACACTGAGATGACAATTAATTTACATAAGGGATGAAGCACAAAACAGATATAATTGCTACAATGATTGTTATAAGCCTAATGAAAAGATAAGAATTATTTCAGAAGCCCAGGAAAAGAAAAAGAACAGAAAAAAAGACTTAAGATGAATTATCCTTATTCCAATTCATTTATGTTTGTATTCATGTAAAAGGTGTTATCTTTGCTAACATGTCATGAGTTAGAACATAAATGCATACATACAAGTCACATTAAGAAAAAGGATGCAGACAAACCTAGATACAATTAAAGCGAAGATATTGGAAAGCACATTAAAATTGCCTGCCTTGGTTTGGGGTATCGTACGGTTATACATCTTGTGAATTGTGTATAATTGTTGCTCAGGGGCATTCACAAAATAGAGTTAGCTTTTGTTGCGCTTAGCTATTGTCACAAAATACTGCAAAACAAACAAACACGAACCTCAGGGAATGGAAACAAATGGACTGTTCTTATGAATTGGCAGGTTGGCTGTTTTAGTTAACAGAGGGCAGGCTCGCTGTTGAGGGCACTGGTGGCTCTGCTTCTCCCTGTAGATGCTGGGGCTCATCCACTTCACACTGCAGCTCACTGGGTCAGCTGGAATGATTCTCTTCTACATCTTCTATCCTTTTATCGGCTAGCTTATCAAGCCATTTTTTTTCTTAATGGCAATGGTGAGGTGCAAAAGTGAAAATGCATGAAGTATTTTTTCCAGTTTTATTGAGATATAATTGACAAATAAAAATTACATATGTTTAAGGTACAGGGCATTATATTTGTATATATATATACATTGTGAAACGGTTACCAATCTCAAGCTAATTAACATGTCCATCACCTCATATAGTTAATATGTTTTTTGTTTGGTGTGGTGAGAACATTTAAGATCTACTCTCAGAATATTTCAAGTACTCAGTTGTGCATTATTGACTAAGTCACCATGGTATACGTTAAATATCCAGAACTTATTCATCCTGTATAACTGAAACTTTGTACTCTTTGGCCAACATCTCTCCATTTCTCACACTCCTCAACCCCTGAAAACTACCATTTTACTCTCTGTCTTGATTAATTTGACTTTTTTAGATTCCACATACAAGTGAGATCATGTATTATCTGACTTTCTGTGCCCGGCTTATCTCACTTAACATGTCCTCTCACAAATAACAGGATTTCCTTCTTTTTTATAGCTGAATAATTTCCACTGTATACCACAATTTCTTTATCCATTTATCCATCAACGGACACTTTGATTGATTCCATATCTTTGCTATTGTGTATAACACTGCAAGGAACACACAAGTATCGACAGCATTTTTGAAATACTGAATTCATTTTCTCATATGTACCCATTAGTGAGATTGCTGTTTATATGGTAGTTATATTTTTAATTTTTTGAGGAAACTCTACACTGTTTTCCCTAATGGCTGTACCAATTTACCCTCCCACCAACAGTACACAAAAGTTCCTTCTTTTTTGACACACTCAAAAACACTCATCTTTTGTCTTTTTCATAATAGCAATCTCAACAGATGTGAGGTAACATATCATTGTGGTTTTAATTTGCATTTCCCTGATGATTAGTGATACTGGGCACCTTTTTAGATGTCCATTGGCAATTTTTGTGTTTTCTTTGGAGAAATGTCTACTCAGGTTCTTTACGTATTTCCTAAGTGAGTTACTTGCTTTTTTGCTTTTGAGTTCTTTGTATACTTTGGATTTTAACCCCTTATAAAGTATATTGGCTAATATTCCCTCTCATTCTGTAGGTTGCCTGTTCACTCTGTTGACTGGGTTTTTTGGTGTGTGTGTGTGTTTCTTTTTTGTTTCTAAGCAGAAGCTTTTCGTTTAAGGCAATCTCACTTGTCTATTTTTTATTTTGTTTCTTGTGCTTTTAGTGTCATATCCAAAAAAAAATTATTGCCCAGACCAATGCCAAAACCAATGTCCCTTATGCATTTCTCTATTAGTTTTAGTTTCAAGTCTTACCTTTAAGACTTTAATCCATTTTTAGTTGATTTTGTACATGGTGTGAGATAAGGCTCCAGTTTCATTCTTCTGCCTGTGGATGTCCAGTTTTCCCAACATGACTTATTGAAGAGACTATCCTTTCCCCATTGTGTTTTATTGGCACCTTTGTTAATGATCCATTGACTCTAAATGCTTCGATTTATTTCTGGGCTCTCTATTCTGTTCCATTAGTTTATATGTCTGCTTTTATGGCAATATCATACTGTTTTGATTACTATAGCACAGTAGCATATTTTGAAATTAGGTATTGTGATGTCTCAGCTTTATTCTTCTTGCTCAAGATTTCTTTGGCTATTCTGGGTCTCTTGTGGTTACATATGAATTTTAGAATTTTTTTTCTATTTCTGTGAAAAATTACATTAGAATTTTGATACAGATTTTATTGAATCTATAGACTGCCTTGGATAGTACAGACATTTTGACAATATTAAATCTTCTAATCCATGAATTAGAATATTTTTTTTGAGACAGTGTTTCTCTCCCATTATTGTAGGACTGTTCCTTAGGTCAGCTAAAGACAGGGTTTTTGTCCATCCCTTGGCCATGAAAATTTAGGCTCGCAGATGGTTTGAAGGGTCAGTAAAGCAGGGTTTTATCAGGTGAAAAGGAAGAAAAAAGGGAAACAGGGACTCTTGCTAGGCCAGAGTCCCTGATAGTGCTTCCTGCTGGCCATTCAAATCCCAGGTTCCACACAGGAAGAAGAGGGGCCAAGCTCCTACCCGCTGCAAATGTTGTGAACTTCCTGAGGCTCCACCCCAGTGGGCAGGCTGGTTTTCTGGGGACACCCTCCCACCTGGTTGTAGCATTCCCCCCGCTAAAGAGGTACATCTAACTGCCATTAGATTAAGGATGAGAACAAAAACCGATATTAACTGTTTCCTGCCGATGGTGTTGCTCTTTTGCAGAAATGGCAGTCGGAGCTCCCTCAGAGGCCTACCTAAGGGTTCCCAGCAGAAGGGGCCATTGTCAGAGGGTCCAGTTGCATGACTGAAGTTTGATGGCCTGAAGGCAAGAACCGACAAACCAGGTTATTAGAAAATAAACATCAAAATGAAACAAGGGGAGGGGTGCAGACAGCTAAGAATTTCCAAGGCCTTTTACCAGTTAGCACAGGGAGAGGAAGTCCAAAAGCCTGACTGGAAAAAAAAAAAAAAAAAAAAAAAAAAACAACTTTACCCTTTTGCCAGCATGTTGGGCTTCTGGGTTCCCTTTCCCTGAGCCCAATCCTAAGCTAATCAGTTTAAGGTTTGGGAAATTAACTCTTTCCAGTTTGGAGGATGCATCTGAGGGGTGTGTCCCGTGGTACAGAGACACAATTACCTATCAGTGAAGAGAGAACAGAGGAGGAGAGAGGAAAAAGAAGGTGCCTTTTCAAGGAGTCCCAAGGGTTCAGGATGCATTTGAAAGGGGTACAGACTGAAGATAAATGGCTACCCATCTAGAAAAAGGGGAGCAGGCATCGCTGGCTCCCTTCTCTTTCTAGCAAATACTCCTGGTAAGTGAGGAAAGAGAGAAGAGCATCCTCTTTCTGTCTTCCATCCTTGCATCCCTGAGCTCTGGCAACCTTGGCAGGTGCTGCCATGAATACCAAAGTGGCTTGCACCCAAGAAGCAAGGTGGCCTAGAGAATAGGAATTATCCATTCTAATCTATGTCTCTTTCTCACCTACTGTCAGTAGCCTTGGAGTTCCCTAGACCTCATTTATGACATCAATACTAATGTGGAACAGGACGCTTGGGCTTGGCTTAGTCAGCAGGAATCACCTGCACTGTGCCTTTTAACTGCCATTAACATCTGCCTCTGGATCCTACAGATCCAGTTTTCTCTCCTAGTGCTTTTGACTTGGAGCTTGGAATTGAATCTGGGACAAAAATGTGTATCAGGGGGCATTGCATGAACTCCTTATCATAAGCCGAATGCTAAGGTGAAACCGTGGAACTGAGTCCTCTTCCAACAAGGGAGAGGAAAGGATGTCTTGTGATATGCCCAGATAACTGGTGGCTACAGTTATGCTTGCTGGGATTTGGGTGCATGGTGCTTGGCTTTGGTTAGCTCCCTTGGTCTTACTTTCCCAAAAAGGAAACCTCTGGATGAGGAGCATCCTATTTATTCCCATCACATGGCAGGATTTGCAGGACAATTGCTCGGAACTGGAATATTCATACAGATTTTTACATTACTCATCACTTTTGTTCTTTCTGAGTTGCAGCCAGAGATTGCTGGCTGGTTCATAGGAACAAGCAGGATTAGTCTAAAATATAGGCAAACGCTTAAAAACAGCTAATAATTTAGAAATTACTAACAAATGTATAAGTTTTGAAACATAATTTCTCTCTCTCTAGCTCTCATTTTTGTCAAGAAAACAAATCATCATAGGACTCAGTTGTTTGCAAAATAGACTTTAGTTTTATACTTGGCCTGATTATTTGCATAAAGTGCAGTAAGAATAATTATTTTTACATAAGACCTTTGGATTGGCCTATGTAATTCGATGGAAGTTTATTCCACAAGGAATCTCAGATAAGACCTTTTAAGGCCAAATCCAGCCATGGGTTTATCCTCGAATACCTGTGAGTATTCTCCTTTTAAGGTCTCAAGATAAACTTGAAGCTCCTGGACCTGTTAGCAAGTGACATTCTTTACTGACCACAGGTCAGGAGCCCTGCACAGGGACTGCATTGGCAAGGGTATGAGACCAGTTCCCCCAGTGGGCTTTTATTGGCTCTGCAAGTCAAGACTGACTCCTTAAAAGGAATACCCTTCCAGTCAAAGCCTTGGTAAAATAACCACTTTCTCCAATAGTGTCCTGTTGCAAAAGAAAAATGGATTCTTATTGCACTGATGCAAACAACCATAATGCCGTAAGTTAAGAACACTCACAGTTTCCAAATTCTAGAGCAATCAGGCAGAGGGAAACAAACATTCTCCAAATTTTGATCCCAGGAGTATACCTTGCTTAAATATTAAAGGCCATAAACAGTTTAAGTTACATTGACTCTGAAAAACAAAACAAGGACCAGCAACATTCCAAGCAAAAGTTAAAAGGATTGCTTCAGCTTCCTGAGTTCAGTCCATTTAGTTAACATGTTTTGCTTGATATAAACATTTCAGCTCTTCATGGGTCCTATACATTTTTCTTTAATCCAATGTTAAAATATCTAAAGTTATTAGAAGGCTGATTGTCTCAAATATAATCAGAAATTGTATTTAAGAGGAACTGTCAGAGTCCTACAGCTTATTATAAACCATCTTTTGAAAATGTTTTAAAATAAGAAAACAATTGTCTATGAATACCAAAATCTCCAGGGTAGTTACAGTTAGAAACACAATTGACAAGTTTGGTTATCTCTCTGGTTTACAATAGCTTAATGTAAAAACCTTAATTATGATTGATAGCATATATTCAGACATTAGCATTATTCACCAAGATATAGCCTAAAGAAGATTGCGCATCATTTTGGCAGTCCCACGTACCTAAACATGTCAAATAATCCTCTTTACCTCTCTTTTCTGGACACTTCAGGGTACTTGAAACACTGGACACCTCTGAAGTACTTGAAAAGCCATGTGCCCAGGAAGACAATTTTGAAACTGAAGTTTGACTTGGGAAGGCTGTCTAATGTTCGAGGTTTAAAACAATTGATATTATGAAATAGAATTCCAGATTACCATAAGTTATTTATCTTGCCAAAATAAAGACTCAGAAATTTTAAAAAGGCAAAAACCTTTTACACCCCTTTAGAAATTCTGCCAAGGAGCAGATTAGCACCTTAGGAAAACCTTATTATGCTTTTATTTCAATGCTCGATTTACAGAAAAACCATATAATACCCTTTTTTGAATTTAGTCAATATGTTCACATAGAGAACCTCTTCCACAAGATTAATTTCTACAGTTCTTCCACCCCTTCTTTGAACCTTCAGCTTTTGCCTAATTTAAGTAAAACGATCCTTTAACCCTAGGTAAAAGTTTACATTTCCATGCCTTCTTATAACCACTTGCAAAAAAACACATTTTACTGTTCTTACACACCTTGCAGGTAAATCTATTTCTAGTAGTTTCAATGAACTAGCAATTTTTAACTTTAAGATAAAACTCGGTAAGTTGCTTTCACTGTGTGCTAAGTGTAGTCAAGGTTTGCCTTCTTAATTAAGGGCATGGTTAGTTTCCTATGTCCCCAGGCCTTACCAATTGTGAAGCCACCAAGTCAAACAGTTCTCAAAACCCAAAAAGCAGTTTGTAACTTCAAAACACTTAACAAACTTTGCATCTGACCTGCATAGTTTAATTCCCATATTTACATTATAATGACAGCTGCATTTTACCAATAATCTTTAAGGCTGCTTTTATTTCTCAAAGATTAAAGTCACATGAACTGAAAGGTACCACAGCTTTTAATTTCCCTTAAAAAAATACTTGGTCTAAGTGCTCGTCTGTCTTTTTTTTTTTTTTGAGACGGAGTCTCACACTGTTGCCCAGGTTGGAGTGCAGTGTGCAGTGGCATGATCTCGGCTCACTGCAACCTTCACCTCCCAGGTTCAAGCGATTCTCGTGCCTCAGCCTCCCGAGCAGCTGGGATTACAGGTGCCCGCCACCACACCCGGCTAATTTTTTTTTAGTAGTGACGGGGTTTCACCATGTTGGCCAGGCTAGTCTAGAACTCCTGGCCTCGTGATCCGCCCACCTGTCTTTCTTTAGGCAAATTAATTAGGACTATTTTCACAGACATCACACACAGTACACACATAGGCAGAAGAAAACCCAGTCGCTGGGTGGGGCCCGTTAAGAGACAGGGCTAGGAAAACACGCACCCATCAAACCAGAAAAAAACTTACCCCTCCGGGCAGGGTTGCTAAAGGAAGCCATGCCACAGGAGTTACAAGCCATGCCCTCAGGATTAAAAAAAAAAAAGATGGAAGCTTGATTTCAGCCAAAACTTTGCAGAGAATACCCACAGCGATATTTGGGGGTGTGGTGAGGGGGGGGGTGGCCTAGTAAAAAGTCTTCTAAAAGAAAAAAAAAAACTTTAAAAGCTAACTGCCCGCAGGGTGGAGAAAAGCAAAGAAAAGAAACAGTTAAAAATGCCTGTTTGGCCTGGCGCAGTGGCTTAGGCCTGTAATCCCAGCACTTTGGGAGGCCGAGCGGGTGGATCACAAGGTCAGAAGATCGAGACCATCTTGGCTTACACGGTGAAACCCCATCTCTACTAAAAATACAAAAAATTAGACGGGCGTGGTGGCGGGCGCCTGTAGTCCCAGCTACTCGGGAGGCTGAGGCAGGAGAATGGCGTGAACCCGGGAGGCGGAGCTTGCAGTGAGCCGAGATCGCGCCACTGCACTCCACCTGCGCGACAGAGCCAGACTCCGTCTCAAAAAAAAAAAAAAAAAAAAAAAAAAAAGCCTGTGAAAACCTCTTATTCTTATGCAAGTGGTTCCTTCACCGGGGAGAAAAGTTTAAGCTTCATTACTGTCCCATGGAGTAAAACCCTTTGGCTGGGGAAGGGGAAGGCTGCAGCAGCTTGTGGCTGGGAACCAGCCAGCCAACTAGCTGTGTGGGACCCCTGGGCCATGTGTCCCAGCCCTGGCAGGGAGAGGAGGGGAGGGGGAGCGAGGAGCCCCCACTTGCCTGCTCATTCTGAAAAAGGAAAGAAAGGGCCTTTCCCCAGGCCCCCCGGGAGCAATAGGGTTTGGGGGGCATGTTACCCCCACCCTCTGAACTCCAAGGATAAAAATGCTTAGGAGCAACAGTGAGAGGTTTTGAGTCCCCATTTCACTTACCACTTCTCGAGCCCCACGTTGTGCACCACAAATGTTGCAGGACTTTTCCTTAGTTTAGATAAAGACAGGATCCTTGTCTGTCCCATGGCCGTAAAAATTCAGGCTCACAGATGGTTTGAAGGGTGTGTAAAGCAGGGTTTTATTGAGTGAAAAGTAAGAAAAGGAGGAAACAGAGACTTTCACTAGGCCAGACTCCCTACTCGAGTACTTCCTGCCCGCCGTTCAAATCCCAGTTTCCACACAGGAAGAGGAGGGGCCAGGCTCTTCCCCGCTGCAAATGTCAGGAACTTCCCGAATCTCCACTCTAGGGGGCAGGCTAGTTGGAGGTTTTCCAGAGACCCTCTCCCACCGGACTGTCTCATCATCACCCAGGCTAGAGTTGAGTGGCGTGATCTTGGCTTTCTGCAGTCTCAACTTCTCAGGTTCAAGTGATTCTCTCAAGAATTCTTCGAATGGATATCTTTCCATTTATTTGTGATTTATTCCATTTTTTTCATCATTGGTTTATGCTTTTCAGTGTACAGATCTTTCACCTCCTTGACTAAATTTATTCCTAAGTATTTTATTGTTTATGATGCCATTGTAAATGGGATTAAAAATTTTTTTAGATAGTTCATTGTTTAGTGTATAAAAATGCATCCGATTTTTGTATGTTGATTTTATATCCTGCAACTTTATTGAATGTATTCATTAATTCTAACAGTTTCTTGGTGAAGTCTTTTAAGTTTTCTGCAAATAGGATCATGTCATCTGCAAATAGAGATAATTTTACTTCCTTTTTGAATTGTATGCCTTTTATTATGCCTTCTTGCCTAATTATTCTAGCTAGGACTTCAAGCGCTATATTGACTTGAGGGGAGGGTACTCTTATCTTGTTCGTGATTTTATATGAAAAGCTTTTAGCTTTTCATAGTGAAATATGATGTTAGCGATAGGTTTGTCCTAGAAGGCCTTTATTACATTGAAGTACTCTCTTTCTATACCTAATTTGGGCAGAGTTTTTATCATAAAAGAATGTTGAATTTTGTTAAGTGCTTTTTCAGCATGTATTGAGATGATCGTATGATCTCAATCATTCATTCCATCTTTTAAAAATACAACATCACTTTCGACAATGTGCTGTTGACTAAAGCAAGCCATATTCTAAGCCCCAACTCAAAGGGCAGAAAAAAACTTCTGCCCATGAAAAACCATAGTGAAAATGTGGTCACTGGGAGAGGTAAAGAATTGAAGCCAATTATTCAGTCTACAGCAAAATTCATCGCTATTTCAGAAAAAGAATTTATTGTATCCAGTATGCAGGGGAAGTCCTCATTCATTGAGTCATTTAATATGGCAGAATTTTACAGTGAGGGGTAACTAAAATGTTTTTCTCCTAAAGACTGAAATAAGACTTTAAGTAAAAAAATAATTGGCTGGGTACGGTGGCTCACACCTGTGATCCCAGCACTTTGGGAGGCTGAGGTGGGCAGATCACCTCAGTCAGGAGTTCGAGACCAGCCTGGCCAACATGGCGAAACCCCATCTCTACTGAAAATACAACATGGCAAAACCCCGTCTCTACTGAAAATACAAATATTAGCCGGGCATGGTGGCAGGCACCTGTAATCTCAGCTACTCAGGAGGCTGAGGCAGGAGAATCGCTTGAACCCAGGAGGCAGAGATTGTAGTGAGCCGAGTTCACACCATTGCACTTCAGCCTAGGTGACAAGAGCGAGACTCCATCTCAAAAAATAATAATCTGCAAATTGCTGTAATAGAAAAAAAATGCTCAATTTACGGCAAATCATCAGTGTCAAATGCTTGAATAAGAAAAATTATTTCTTGAATTGACAGAACATCAGTCCAAAAATGATGATTATAGCAAATGATGAGTAAATGCAAAGGCTACAGCTGCTCTACATTGGGCTTCTATGTTAATTAGGAAAAGACTTACTCTCTGGACAAAGACAAATGATATCAGGGCTCAGGATTTGACAAGTGGAGTGTGGACTGGATTTCAGTTCCCACCAACATGTTCTCAATCAAGTCTTATTGTTAGGGAAAATATAATCCTCATGGAAGAGAAGAAAGCAAAGAGTTACCTCCGGGTTCTTACTAATTTTGTTGATTTGCTTCATTATGTTGCTATATCTTACATATCATGATAATCAATGATTTTTCAAAAGGGTAGCCATTACTTTCTTCTTTCCTGCTTTTCTTCTACAAACATGTACTCAATTTCTACTATGTGTCAGGCATGTTCCAGAAACATCAGATATAGCAGGAACAAAATAGATAAAGTCCCTGCCCTCATATGGTTTATAGTGCAGCAGGAGAGACAGACAATAATCAGTAAATATAACAAATTAGTAAATTATAAAAAATGGCAGGGGATAGTAAGAGCTGTACACAAAAGAAAAGAAAAAAAGAACAGAAAAGAAAAAAGAAGGCTAGGTTGTAGGACAAATACCTTTAGAAACAATACGTTTTTGGTTGTGGTGGTAGGGATGGGGGGTGTGGTGGTTACATAGAAAACTTTGCTATTCTCATACATATTTAAGCACACTTTTCCCACTGAATTTCCATATATGACATTACGTAGGGAGAAATGAACCCTTCCTATATACTCCCACCTCAATTCTGATTGAGTGCATGAGACTATCCTTACTAGTACTCTGAGACCAAGCCTAAAAGAAAATTGGCTCAGAAGAAAAATCTGATAAAACATGAAATAAATTCATGCCTTTATATTTTTATAATCTAGGTTCACCTTTTTATGTAATAACAAATGTAACTAAAGCAAGTGAAAGGTCAGCAAAATTTTACAGGAGTTGGTTAAAATAAATGTATCTGTAATGTAATCCATGCTGTAGTTATACAGTGGATATAACATTTTTGCCAATTTAAAAATGTACTGTGTTGGGCCCATTCGGTTGAACTTAAGATAAATTTACTTATAACACTTTGTGCCATAGTGCTTAATAAATAGTTTAAAGTCTAGAAAACCTTTCCTTTCCCTCGGCTATGAATTAATCTATACAGCATTTAAAATGGTTGAATGTGCAAGTTGGGAAATGAGCACATTTGTTACAGTAACAACTTTCCAATGAATTATGTTCTTATGTTGCTCTTGGAAGTTGTTTATTTTAAAATAGTTCCCATCAGTGGTCCAGTTTTCTGCTTGAAAATGATTACTTTAGAAATAAAAAACCAAAACTAAAAAAACCAAAGCCTAAAATGCAGGTAATCGCTTAACCTTTGTGCTTGTGCCAAACCAGGAAAAACACATTGAAGAGGGGGAATCATAATCATCCCACTTCAACAGTTATTTCTTAGTTTTTTGAACTCTGCACTCTCTAAATTTTTTTTTAGCAGTTCAGAGGCACTCTCACATCCTACTTATGAAATATATAGTGTTATGTCCATGAAAAAAAAATTTAAACGATTTGGGATCTACATATTTTTAGAGCCATAGAATTATAATATTGCTATCCTTTCCCTTGATTTGGTACATTGCATAACATTGCATACAGTAAAAGAATTTTCCTCTCTTAATCCTCTTTGATTGCTGTAACTTGGTTGATAAATGAATTCTGAGAAGAGTAATACATATGTCTCACTTTAAATACCTTAGGTTGGCTTATGTGCAAATGCAAAGGCCAGCTTCCCATATGTAATTGAAATGGAATAAAATGGAATTGAATCTTTCTCTAGTGAGTTAAAACTTCACTTTGTGGGTTGAATTGTTGGCAACTTTCTAGGTTGCTGAGAAACATAGCAATAAAAAGTTTGGAGATGAGAAATTTTTGATAGAATATTCTTAATTTCAAATTTTAATCTCTATTTGTGCAGGCAATAAATACTCTGCTTGGCATCTAATGTAAATTCAAGAAATGTTAGTTGTATGACTTCCTATATATTACATACATAAACCTTTATAATTTTTATTATAATAAATGAGGACTAGAATTCCTGCTTGCATTTTACAAAATAAGGGTCAAAACATATTTTTTGAAAAAATCGAAATAGTAAGTATTTTAGGCTTGCAGCCCGTACAGTCTCCACCACAAGTAATCCACTCTGCTGTTGTAGCACAAAAGCAGTACATAAACACAACCAATACATAAATAAAAGGGGCGCTCTCTGCTTCTGAAGTTTTATATATGTAAACTGGTGGGAAGCAGGATTTAGCCAATAGGGTCTAGTTTACCCCAACCTAGACTACTTAAAATTGAACATGCAAGTTGAACTACAGAATGTCCACAAAATATGGAGTAAAACCAAGGAATTTTGCTCTATATATAATTCAAAATCTTAATCTATAAAGTTTCTGGACATTGCTATTTCTGACTCATTGAAAAAACAAAATATACAAATGTTACGTATTCCATAATACTTATATTTAACTATTGTATAGTGTTTAAAATAGCCTTAAATTTGTTAAAAGAAAGAATCTTGTATTTCATTGTCCCTATGATCCAAACATGTGAATACAATTAGGTGTGGAAATTTCCTGCTGACAACGGGGAAGTAACTCCACAACTGGAACTAATTTAAAGCTAAATCCCTGTCTCAATCTGTGACTGACTTATCATCTTTATTAAGGTATTAATGGTATTAATTGGTAAAAATGGTAAAGATATAAGCTTTATTTCGTCAAACTCTAAAAGGGGAGAATGCTGTCATGAAAACCTCCAGGGAAGAAAGGGAAAATTTTAAAAATATATATCAGTTAGAGCTCTCAGCTGAGAGGTCACATGTAATTTTGTTAGTGTGACCTTTCAGAGTACTTTGATGCCTCTGTCTTAAAGGCAAGTTGATGTCAGCAAGACCCTCCAATATATTAAAGCAAAAATATTCAGCCTAAATGTCTGAGAGAACAATATCACAAAATTGACATTGCTAATGAAAGCCTGCCAAATCAAATTTATTTAAAAAAGATTATAAAATGTTTTATAAGCGAAGGTCTTTCTACATGCTTAATAATATTTCTGCTAATGGCTTTCCTCTCCTAGAACTCCCCCTTTGTCATTTGATTTCTTTCATGTATCACTCATGCATTTTAGTTCTTCCTGGTTTCTCTCAGATGTTACTCAGTGAGTTAGAACCATTGGCAGGCAGCCATATACTACCTGTAAAGAAGAGTGGTAATTTTACTTAAGTTCTCTGTCTTAAAGATAGAATTGTCATCTCTGTGTTAGATGAGGTGGATTTGCAGAGCTTACCAGAGTAACTCTCTTAATGGATATGTTTATTTTCCATAACATGAATTGTGGTGACAACTAAATCAATGAACACAACCAATGACCACTTTTAATAATGCCATGCCCTAAATAGGTATCCTCTCTAGCTTACACATAACGAATCTTTGAATCACTAATTTATGACTCATCGATTCTACTTCCATGTTTTGTTGCCTCTAGTTAAAGCAGCGAGCCTCTTTTTACAGACGGAGAAAATGAAAAATAGATTTGCAAGAGCAAGGTACGCTTGGGAGTGCAAACCAAAGTCAGACCATGGAAGAATCTCTTTGATCTTAATTCCCTGAATCACATACAGGTGTCGGACCTTCTTAGACTCCACTGATATTAACGAGGTGAGACACGAGGTGACTTGTAGGACCAGACTCCTCTGTTCCAGTCTCTTTCCTACAGCAATACTTCACCCTGTCACAGTGCATAAAAAGCCCTCAGAGAACAATAGCACCAGCGTTCCTTGTGCTTTATGCACAACAGAGACAACTAGAAATGATTAGTTTATTTTGTAAATTTAATTTAGAAGGTTGGTACACTGTGTGCACATATCCTTTCCTGAAAGTCACAGTAAAGTATTATGTTTCTTTCAAGCCCAACTAAATATAGTTTATACTGAAATTCAGTTGAGAAGTGTAGATGCATAAGAATCAAATATGTTAGAGGGAATGCCCAAGTTTAGTTAATTTATGGGGGTAGTTTAGACTTGCCTCTGCAAGTCTAATTTACATGGGTGAATAAAAACTTATCCAGCTGCTAAAGTCTACCTTTAACCCTATTTTCCCCTGCTCACAAATAATATACCAGGATGTAAATAATACAATCGTGTGAACTATAGGCCAGGCATGGTGGCTCACTCCTGTGATCCCAGCACTTTGGGAGGGCGAGGCAGGTGGATCGCTTGAGGCATTAGGTTCAAGACCATCCTGGCCAACATGGCAAAACCCCGTCTCCTCTAAAAATACAAAAATTTGCTGGGTGTGATGGCACATGCCTGTAATCCCAACTACTTGGGAGGCTGAGGCACAAGAATCGCTTGAACCCAGGAGATGGAGGTTGCAGTGAGCTGCGATCGTGCCACTGTAGTCCAGCCTGGGCAACAGAGTGAGACTCTGTCTCAAAAAAAAAAAAAAAGTGTACTGTAATATAACAATATTGATAATTTAATATAATGTTATAATGTAATATAACATAATTAAGACCATTAGATTTGGAATTAAAAAACTGGATTTAAATCCCTATTTCATTCCTTAGAAGTTAATTATAAGCTTCAATTTCCACATTTGTAAAATGTGGATAAATGTACCTACCTCATAGAATTATTGTGGGGATTAGAGAAATTATTTATACAACTGCTAGTCCAGAGCCTTGTGCATATTAGGATTGATTTCTAAAAGCTCCTTGAATTAGGTCAGAAGGAAATACATTTATTTAAAAAAATCCCCAACTACTCATATGACCCAATCACATTGATATGTCAGCAATACCAAACATTTATTAGAAAATGAAAGAAGAGATATCTGTTCATTTTAAACAAAGCAAGCTATTTATCCACATCTCTCAAGGCTGTCAAAACCTCACTGTCATATTTTCACCTAAGACCTCATGAGAAAAGAAGAGAAATGAGGGGAGGATGAGGAAGGATAGTCACTATTGGGTCATTTGCTTTATATTACTTTTGATAACAATGTGTAGTATTAAAACATGACAATAGTTGACCCTTGAACAATACAGGTTTCAACTGCATGAGTCCATGTATATGCAAATTTTTTCAATATATTTATTGAAAAAAACTCGGAGATTTACAAAGATTTGAAAAAACTGAGAGAAACCATGTAGCCTAGGAATATTTTAAAGTTAAAAAAAAAGGTATGTCATGAATGCATAGACTATATGTAGTTACTAGTCTATTTTATCACTTAGTACAATAAAATATATACAAATACATTATGAAGTTAAAATTTATCAAAATTTACATGAAGACTTATAGACCATACAGTTGTTATTGAGAAAACTGTAAACAAATGTAAAGATGCAGTATAACATGGAACACTATGCAGCCATAAAAAGGAATGATATCATGTACTTTGCAGTAACCTGGCTGTGGCTGGAAGCCAGTATCCTAAGTGAATTAACACAGAAACTGAAAACCAAATACCACATGTTCTCACTTATAAATGGGAGCTAAACATTGGGTATTCATGGATATAAATGGCAGTAATGGACACTGAGGACTACTAGATGGGAAAGAAAGAGAAAAAAGTTGAAAAACTAACTATTGGGTACCATGCTCACTACCTGAGGAATGGAATTATTCATATTCCAAACCTCAGCATATGTAACAAAATTACACATGTAACCCCTGAATCTAAAAATAAAATTAAAATTTTTTTAAATGTGGTATTAAATGATACTGCATAAAGTTAACTGTAGTACATACTGTTCTATTATAACAACTTTGTAGCCTCCTCTGGTTGCTATTGTGATGAGCTTAAGTGTTAAGAGTATCTGCTTAAAACACTGTGATGCTAATCATCTCCACATGAGCAGATCCTTGTATTTTTCAGTAAATTATGTTATAGCAGTAAATGACAATCTTGCAGTTCTCACATATTTTTGTGGTGCTTAGTGCAATATTGTAAACCTTGAATAACTCCATGCTACCCATACAAAGTGACACTAGTGATGCTGGAAGTGCTTCTCAAAAGCATAGAAAAGTCATAACATTACAAGAAAAAGTTCAGTTTCTTGATATGTATGATAGATTGAGGTCTACAGTCACAGTTGCCTGCCATTTCAAGACAAATAAATAAAGCGTAAGGACCATTGTAAAAAAAAAAGAATATATATATATATATAAAGCTGTCACTGCAGTTATACCAGCAGGGATGAACCTTGCACTTACTGTGATATACATTTTTATCTTGCGTTGAAAATGCAGTTTTTATGTGAGTGCAGGATTGCTATAAGAAAGGCACACCTATCGACTCAAATATGATTCAAGAAAAATATGAAGTCATTATATGACAATTTAAAGCAAAAACGAGGTGAAGTATCTAAAGCTGGAGAATTTAATGCCAGCAAAGGATGGTTTTAGATAAAGGTTTGGCTTAAAAAAAAAAAAAGGTAACATGAGAAGCACTTCTCAAGATTCAGCAGACATTTTCAGACATCATTAAGAAAATCACTGAGGAGGAAGAATAATTATGTGAATACGTTTTTAATGCAGACAAAACTGCTCTATTCAGGGTAAGGAGAGCCTCCAAGGACATTTAATTAGTAAGGAAGTAGGCACCAGAGTTTAGGCAGGAAAGTATAGGCTAACTCTACTGTTTTGTGAAAACACAGTCAGGCTTCCGACGAGGACTGCCCTTATCCGTAAAACAGCTAATCCCCTAAACCCCAAGCCTTGAAGAAAAAGATAAATACCATCTGCTAGTCTTTTGCTTATACAACAAGAAGGCCTCAAGAGGAGAACCCTTTTTCTGGATTGGTTCTATTGATCCTTTGTTACCTTGACAGTAACAGACTGCCTTTTAAAGTTCTTTTGATATTGGACACTGCCCCTGACCACCCAGAACTCTATGAGTTCAACAGTGAAGTCATAGAAGTGGTCTACTTGCCTCTAAACACAGCATCTGTAATTCAGCCTCTAGGTCAAGAATCATAAGGACCTTTAAGGCTCATTATGCACAGTACTCTATGGAAAAAAATTGTCAATCTATTAATATGTCACCAAACCCCAAAAGAGAAAATATCATGAAAATCTGGAAGGATTACACCATTGAAGATGCTGCTGTTGTTACAGAAAAATCCATAAAAGCCATCAAGACTGAAACAATAAATTTCTGCTGGGAAAAAAACAACACAAAACTGTGTCCAGATGCTGTGTATGATCTCACAGGATTTATAACAGAACCAATCAAGGAAATAATGAAAGAGACTGTGGATATGGCAAAATTAAAAAGTAAGGGATGAAGGCTTTCAAAATATACATCTTAGAGAAATTCAAAAGCTAATAGACACCAAACCACAATAGAGGAATTCACAGAAGATGATTTGATGGAGATGAGTGTTTACAATCCAGTGCCAGATGGTGAAGAAAAAGACGAAGAAGAAACAGCGCCAGAAAATAAACTGACATTAGGCAATCTGTCAAAAGAGTTATGTTGAAGACCGCTTTTGACTTCTTTTATGACATGGACCTTTCTACGATATGGGCACTGAAACTAAAGCAAATGGTGGAAGAAGGTTTGGTTCCATGTAGAAATATTTTTAGAGAACTGAAAAAGCAAAATGATAGGAATTATGATGTTTCTGTAAAGTTACACCAAGTGTGCCTGCCTCTCCTGCCTCCTCTCTCAACTGTTACACATTTTCCATCTCTGTCACCCCTGAGATATCAAGACTAACCCCTCCTCTTTCTCCTCCTTCTTAGCCTACTCAATGGGGAAACCATGAGGATGAAGACTTTTATAATGATTCATTTCCACTTCATAAACAGTAAATGTATTTTCTATTTTTTATAATTTTCTTAATAACATTTTCTTTAGCTTGTTTTAAGAACACAATATATAATACATATAACACAAAAAATATGTGTTAGTCAAATATTTACATTATTGGTAAGGCTTCTGGTCAACAGTACGTCATTAGTAAAGTTTTGGGGGAGTCAAAAGTTATATGTGAATTTTTGACTGCACAGGAGTCGGTACCCTTAACCCCCACATTGTTCAAAGATCAACGGCAGTTCTGTTTCAGCAGGAAAAAAAAATTCTCAAAATTCTAAACCAAAACATAGAGGATACATTTTACTTCTTGCCAAAAGAAGATACCCATTTTTTAAATTCTACAAAGGATTTCCCATACTCGAACTGTTGCCTGATCTCCCTTTAAAAAACCACCTTTGCAATGCTTAGCAGATATTAAGTATTATTAACTATTTACGGTAATATTTGCCTACCCCTGTAACTTTTACCATAAAATATAATATTATGAAATTCAACTAGCCTCATACATAAAGGTATTTAATTTTAGTTTGAAGGACTTATTTCATATAAACAATAGCATGGATTGAACATGCATCTACCTTCAATTGAGTTGCATGAATTAATTACAGAACGACTGCCTACTACTATTGAAGTCTCTAAAATATGCCTTATGAATCATTAGCAATTTTTTTCTAGTATTTGTGATTTTAGAATTACTTCTATCTCATTTCCTCCTATTCTTTAGCTCTGTAATTTTCTTACTCCTTGATGTAAGAGAACACTACTGTTACTCCTGAAGAGACCTAAAAGAGGAGAAAACACCAGAAACAATGACAAAGACTCTAAGAAGCTACTATGTTGGCTCTGTAAAAATAATCTTATTTTACTCAAATATTTTAGAGTTATATTTGTAACATTACCATTCCATGTACGTAGATTTCTTCCTTGAACTTCTATTTACTGAGGGCCTAGCAGGCAGAACACTGAGATGGACGGGCAGTTAGAGACAGTACAGTGACTCACTTAGGCCCATGCTTGGCACCCACATTTTAGCTAACTTCAGTTAACACCCTCCTCTCCCAACCTAATTCCAGTTTGAATTCAAGACTTAACTTATATTTTACCTTTTCCTTGAAAGCATGGCTCACCCTTCTCTACTCCCCTGTAATATTCTTTACAAAATCGTAGCATGCCACTTAAGATAGTTTCATCATCAACTGGTCCTGGACTAGTATCCCAGAAAATAAAAGCTCCTGGAGAATGGAGTAAGATATGCATCTTTTAATTCTTGGTCCCAAGCGCAGTGCCTGGCACAGAGTGGATACACAGCTCAAGTTTATGAACAGGCTAATTAATGAATGAGTTAGGAAGCTTCAATTACTAATAATATTATTATGATATACAAATATATAACAGAAACAGACATTAATGGATGTTGCTACTTTCTTTTAGTAACGTTCCATCTTTTCACAATTTTATTTTAAAAGGTTGTCCTAGGGCAGAAACTTCAGCATTTATCAACTTCATAACTGTAAAATCAATAACCAGTATTTTCAGAGCACTCATAAAAATGAGGTTAACAAAAGAGAAAAAAAAATAAGGATGGCCAGTCAGAAAAGAGAAACTGAAAGAAAACGAGTTCTGTTCTACCTCAGTTAATGGTAATATATGTCTCCAACGAATTCCCTTCCCTCTAAGCCAAGGCTCTCCTTTTGTCATTGTGATTACTAAGTGCATGATAGTCTCCTGGTTAACTGATGATTCTGACACAGCACACACACAAGCACTGTTAATCCTTTACTCCTAAAGCCTTCACCAGTGCACACAGTGAACAGTGAGGTTTGGTCACCTGGGAGCACTTCTAATTTCTTCTATTTCATATTCATATTCAATGTTAGAAGGATTTACTCCTATTGGGCATCCTCAACATGTTTCTAGATTGTCACTAAGTCGCCATTAGAAATATTACTAACTGTGAGAAACATTAAGCTTGGGATTCTATAGTTTTATAATTCTTAATCGAATGAATTTCCCCAAAATTAATCTAATAGGTCATTCCTAAGGAATTCATTATGCACCTATGTAAAGACAACTCTCTGAGTGTCTGAAAAGAAAGTAGAAAACATACTTTGTTACCTCAAGGAGTTTATATTCTTATTTTATAGTGTTTCTATGAGTTGTAAAATTGTAAATTGACTGCTTTTCTGAGATCAATCCATATTTACTCTCAATTAACACTACATCCTAGATGAGAACTAATGAAAGATAGATTTTATTTTCATGGAGTAGCCACTTATTTTTCCCTTTGTTTTACTCTCCTCTCTAATAATTCTCAATCTGCCTTGCAATTTATGTGCCAATGCTTGCTGCTTGACCTCAGCATCCGCTTTCCAAATGCTTCACCACGTGCCCTGATTCTGTGCGAGACAGTGAAAAATTCTGTCTGAGATGTAAGGGACGATCGGCAATTTAAAAATATATATTTTCCTGTGTTCTCACTTTCTTCTGAGAAGTCTTTCATTCTACTTCTGAGTGAGTTGATTGATTTCGAACTAGTTTAAACTCGAGGTCTGGAGCAACAAGCTGAGAAAAAATGATAGAGAGATATTTTTAAAGTGCATTGGTTTTATCTTCTGATTCATTCAATAGAAAAGCTCTTTTATGGATAAAAGTTCCTTTTTGTAAGCTGTAGTACTCTCAGTGAAGCATTACAAAAAAGAAGAAACTAGTGAAATGCTGACAGTTTAATACAATTAAGTGTAAAAGATGCAGTGAAGGTTGAACAGGAATGATTTGGGCTTTATTTGTGGTATTCTTTCTTTCTCTTCCTATGTGCGTATGTGCATGCATGTGTGTTTCCGAATTAGTTCAGTAAGTGAAGCAGTAAGCTTTAACTGTGAGTAGTGAGTGTATAACAGATAAATATAGACAAGTTTAAAAAGAAAATCTGACCTTCAATAAAGTTAACAAAAAGGCGAAGTTTTCTTCCCATTCCTGCAATTAGAATACCTCTCACTACTCTTAAGTAAAATTACAAGCTGGTAAAATGTTAAGGACCTCCTCAAAAGATCTCCTTTACCTCCCTGATGTCTTGAAATCTCATAAAAAACTTTCTGCCTTTCCTTTAAAGCTTTAGTTCTTATATAAATAAAGATATCCTCTGAGAGGGATAGAATATTAAGTTGTAAGGCATTTCCCATTCAATATTCATGTTTCCAAGGAGGTCAACTCATAGAATGCTTCGAGAACCTTTCATATAGTAATGGGGACTCGAGTTGAAAAACAGAGATGTTCAATCCATCAAATATTCTTGATGTAGAAGCATATTACATTCATTAGAGAGCATGCGATGAGAAATTACAGTAGGCTTTGGGCTCTTTATATACTGTAGTTTATATACTAATGTGATGGAGAATATGCTTTTTCCCAAAGTACATTTTTCCGCAATGAAGAACTAATTATTTGAGACCCATTTATTCCTTATCTTATTTAGTGCTGCCCATAACCACTTAAAAAGCCTTGATTTATGTATTTGAAAATTTTTCTGTGTACAGGCATATCTCAAGGATATTGTGATTCTGGCTCCAGACCACTGCAATAAAGTGAATATTGCAATAAGGCAAATGACACAATTTTTGACTTCCTGTACATATAAAAGTTATGTTCACACTATAGTCTATAAGTGTTTAATAACATGATGTCTAAAAAATGTACACATCTTAATTTAAAAATACGTTATTGCTAAAAAATGGCAATGATCATCAGACCATTCAGCAAGTTGTAATCTTTTTGCTGGTGAAGAGTCTCACCCTCATGTTGATGGCTGCTGAATAATCAGGGTGGTGGTTGCTGAAGGCTGGGCTGGCTATGGTAATTTTTAAAAAAATAAGGCAACAATAAAGTTTTCTGAATTGATTAACTCTTTCTTTCGTGAAAGATTCTCTGTTGTATGATATGCTGTTTGATAGCATTTTACCCACTTAGTAGAACATCTTTCAAAATTGGAGTCAGTTCTCTCAAATCCTGCCACTGCCTAATCAAGTAAGTTTATGTTATATTCTAAATCTGTTGTTGCCCTTTCAATAATGTTTATAGCATCTTCACCCAGAGAATATTCCATCTTGAGAAGCCACTTTCTTTGCTCATCAATTAGTTTTATAATGAGATGACAGTAATCCAGTCATTTAGCATATTTTTTTTCTGAAGTACATTTTTCAGCAATAAAGAGCTAACTCTCTGAGGCTTACTTCTAATCCTAGTTATCTTACTATTTCCACCACATCTGCAGTTACTTCCCCCACTAAAGTCTTGAGCCTCTCAAAGCCATTCATGAAGATTGGAATCAACTTCTTCCAAACTCTTCTTGCAAAAGGCTGATGTGGATATTTTGACCTCCTCCCATGAATTACAAATGCTGTTAATAGCACCTAGAACGGTGAATACTTTCCAGAGGTTTTAAATTTACTTTGTCCAGATCCATCTGAGGAATCACTATGAATGGCAGAAATGGCCTTACCAATGTATTTCTTAAATAAGAGTTGAAAGTCTAAATTACTTCATGATCCATGGGCTGCAGAAAGAATATTGTGTTAGTGAACACGAAAACAACATTAATTTCCTTGTCCATCTCCATCAGAGCTCTTGAGTGTCCAGGTGCATTATCAATGAACAGTAATATTTTAAAGAGTCTTTTCTTTTCTGAGCAGTAGGTCTCAAGAGTAGGCTTAAAAGATTCAGCAAACCATGCTGTAAACAGATGTGCTGTCATCCAAGGCTTTGTTTTTCCATTTATAGAGCACAGGCAGAGTGGATTTAGCATAATTCTTAAGGGCTCTAGGATTTTCCAAATGGGAAATGAGAACTGGCTTCAACTTAAAATCAAAAGCTGCATTAGCCCCTAACTAGAGTCAACCTGTCCTTTGAAGATAAGGAGCCAGGCACTAACTTCTCTCTAGCTATGAAAGTCCTAGTTGGCATCTTCTTCCAATAGAAGCCTCTTTCCTCTGCATTGAAAATTTGCTACTTAGTCTAGCCACCTTCATCAATATCTTAGCCAGATCTTCGGCATAACTTGCTGCAGCTTCTCCATCAGCCCTTCACCTTGCACTTTAATGTTATGGAGACAACTTATTTCCTTAAACCCCGTGAACCAGCTTCTGCTAGCTTCAAACTTTTCTGCAGCCTCCTCACATCTCTCAGCCTTCACAAAATTAAAGAGATTTAGGGCTTTGCTTGGATTAAAGGTTACTTTAAGAGAATACTGTGGCTAGCTTGATCTTCTATCTTCCAGACTGCTAAAACTTTCTCCATATTAGCAATAAGGCTGTTTGTCTTTCTTATCATTTGTATGTTCACTGGAGTAGCACTTTTGACTTCCTTCAAGAACTTTTCCTTTGCATTCACAACGTATGTAACTGTTTGACACAAGGAGCTCAGCTTTTGGCCCATCTCAGTTTTTGGCATGCCTTCCTCACTAAGCTTATTCATTTCTACCTTTTTATTTAAAGTGAGAGATGTGTGACACTTTCTTTCACTTGAGCACTTTTCGGGGCTATTGTTAGATTGTTAATTATTCTGATTTCAAAACTATTGTGTCTCAGAGAATACAGAGGCCTGAGAAGAGGATGGGAGATGGGGGAACAGCCAGCCGGTGGAGCAGTCAGAACACATAAAGCAATTGTTGATTAAGTGTGCCATCTTACACAAGTATGGTTCATGAAGCCCTAAAAGAATTTTAAAAGTCACGTCGAAGATCACTGACCACAGATTATCATAACAGATATCATAATAATGAAAAGTTTGAAGCATTATAAGAATTACCAACACATGACACATGGAAAAAAAGTGACCACATACTGTTGGGAAAATGGTGCCAATAGACTTTCTTAATTCAGGATTACCACAAATCTTCAATTTCTAAAAAATGCAGTATTTGTGAAGTACAATCAAATGAACTACAATAAAATGAGGTATGCCTGTATCAATATTTTTCTATTCTTTATGATCACACATACTGATATCAGATCTCATGGACTTCAAGTGCTTGCAGTGAAATGACTATCACTGTTACTTAGGTCACATTGTCCCTGAACATGACATAAAAGCTTAATTTACACTTTTTACATTAGTGATCCCTGTGCTTGAGAGGGCTTCCTACTAAAGATTTCGCTATACAGAGCATCCACCACCATTACCACTATCCTCTCTCCTGAGTTTGAAATTCTTACCTCTTAATCAAAGCCCATGGGAGGCCTTTTAGGACAATAATTCTTGTGGAATATAGAGGAAACAGTGTTTCCTTCATTAAATTCAACAAAGAATTTTTGTGCTACTATTTTTACATTAGAATTACCAAGGCTTTTTTTTTTTTTTTTTTTTTTTTTGACAGTCTCACTCTTGTCACCCAGGCTGGAGTACAGGGGCACAATCTCAGCTCACCGCAACCTCTGCCTCCCAGGTTCAAGCAGTTTTCCTGCCTCAGCCTCCTGAGTAGCTGGGATTACAGGCGTGTGCCACCACACCCAGCTAATTTTTGTATTTTTAGTAGAGACGGGGTTTCACCATGTTGGCCAGGCTGGTCTCGAACTCCTGACCTCAGGTGGTCTACCTGCCTCAGCCTCCCAAAGTGCTGGGATTACAGGCATGAGCCACCAGCCCGGCCAAGGCTCTTTTTAAGAAATATTACCTATTGAAGGTTCTAATACTATTCATTTTTTCTATATAAACTAGGCCTTCTCCCCAATGAATCTCTATTCCTTTACCCTGTTTTATTTTTCCTCTATAGTATTTATCACCACTTGAAATTATATCACACGGCTGGGTATGGTGGCTCACACCTGTAATCCCAGACTTTGGGAGGCTGAGGCAGGTGGATCACCTGAGCTCAGGAGTCCGAGAGCAGTCTGGCCAACATGGTGAAACCCATCTCTACTAAAAATACAAAAATTAGTTGGATGTGTAGGCATACACCCATAATCCCAGCTACTGGGAAGGCTGAGGCACAAGAATCATTTGAACCCAGGAGGCAGAGGTTACAGTGAGCCGAGCCCGTGCCATTGTACTCCAGCCTGGACAACAGAGTGAGACTCTGTCTCAAAAAAAAAAAAAAAAGAAAGAAATTATATCTCACATTTATTTTTGTATTGTCCAACTTCCTGCACTAGAATATAAGCTCCACGAGTGTGGAGACCTTGTTTCATTCACTGATTTTTCCCCAGCACCTAGAACCATTCCTAGGCCATTGTAAATACTCAATAAATATATGTTAAATGATAAGCTCAAGCAATTAATTAGTCTCAGTTTCAGATACTACCTAGTTCTTCACCACATCATATAGGGAGCCTGTGTTACAAATGGGACCATATCATAGGCCACAGGCCTATTGGGACTGAATGAAGGTTTAGAAGCAATGATTGAGGCCTGCTGTCACTGAAGACAAAGGAATATTTATTTAGATTCTTCTTGGCAATCAGTAAGCTCCACTGCACTTTAGAGATACAATTATTTTATCGATAATAAATAATCTATTGCTCTTAATTTAGGCTAGCTTGTAGCTAACGACTTAAAGGTGAAAATGTTCATTGCCTATTATCAAGTACCTTAGCGTATTTACATCTTTAGGTGTTGACATCTAAAAAAAATGAGGTCTCATTATAAAGGACATTTCATAAGGCTGCAAGGTTTTGAAGTGAGCACCATTAAAAATATAAAGCCACAGGGAGGGTTTTTTAATCATTTACAGTAAAAAAGTGTGAGCATATGAATTCCTCACGAATCTGTGACTACAGGGATGTGCCAAACACAATTGTGGCAGCAATCATTGAAATGCTTTACAGCATTCTTAGAATACCTCCCAGCCCCGTTCTCTGCAATGGTCCATAGAGTACAACAAGAAAACAGGGACCACAACGGCCAGAGGGAAGGGGATGTTTTCAAGAAAAATGAGACATTTTATGCATGGAAGGTGTTATCTGCATAATTGGGCAGAAAGCAGCAAATGTTTTAAACAATTCATTTTGATCATTATTGTCAGTTTTGTTTTGTTTTGTTTATTCAGAGAAAGCACACAAACTAGAGATTTAAAGCAAAAGATGCTTTTGTTTAAAACTGACTCTAAATCTTAGAAATGTGCTTGGAAAATTGTTTCTAAAAACATGAAAGTGCAAAGGGACTACTATAACACGTATACTAATCCTAGTCAACTAAATACACTTGCTGAGCTGGACTGGCATCTAGAAGCCTCCTCTACATTACCATGTCACTTACTTCCTGCCAAAACCAGGTACCATGGGCTGAGGAAAAGGGAAGTGCTAAACACAATGGTTTAAAAAAGGAATACGGTTCTAAATTAGAGGTTGCATCAAATGATCTTCTTAAAACATATGATGAGCAGGTAATTTCTAAGACACGAACATTTTTCTATACTATTATAATAACAAAACTTGTAGTGTGGTTAATACAAATGAACAGGAATATGTCAGTTCTATTATTTGTAATTCAATGAAGAAGCAACACCTAACAGATAGAAAGCACTGTAGTGGGCGTTGAATAGCTGAATTCTAACAACATATGACTTTTCTTTTAATCATTTCACATGTTTGCGTTTTAGCATCTCTTTTTTAAAGGTAGAGAAGATAAACCTCTTCTAAGAATAATCTGGGAATACACTAAAATGAGAAAGGTTGCACCTCTGATATTTTAAGTATTATTGATCTTGATTACATAGCCACAGCCAATATAATTTAACCTGGATATGTGGTGCAAGAGAATAATAAAAAATCTAATAATTAATGAAATTAATCTTTGATTTTCAACTCCATCAAATATGAAAGGTACAACTATAATGTAAACCATCTTAATAGGTAGCCTAAGTGTATTCTATATGTTATATAATGATAGAGAAAGGCACATATTGCTTCCTTCATTCTTTTACTATCTTTTCTACTTTCTTGCCAAAGTGGAAAATCTGGTGTTAATGTATAGCATGAATCAGAAGTGTTAGAGAAGAAAGAAAACTAACTTTTGGTGAGTACCAGTCACTGCTGGTGTATGATTTATATAAGTTAAGTTACTTGATTTTCATAGTAATCTGATGAGTCAGGAGATTTTACTGTTGAGAAAATAAAGGTCACACTCTATTTTTGCACAGTGTCATACAGCTAGTAAGCACCAGGACCAGCATTTTAAACCCTTATTTGAACCCTTATTTACCTGTCTCTAAAGCTTTGGCTCCTTCTGTCACCTTCAACCTTTTCTAAGGATTTTATAAACTCATTCACATTTTCCCAGCAGGGTTATTCCTGGAAAAAGGAAGAATCTTCTCTCTTCTCAGTGTCTCTCTTCTGCTTCCAGGGTTTTCAGGTGGTTAATTTGTTAATTTATAATAAAGGAATTCATGCTAAATTATTTATAAAATGACAACTTAGTTAAATACTACTGCCAGGGTCTTCGCATTTTAAAGAGAAACTCTGGAGAGTCTTTCATTCATTCATACTTCGAACAGACACTGGGTACTTGCTACTTGCAAACATTAGCTATAGGAAGTTGAAAACTGAATACAACACATACTCTCTCTGCCCTCAAAGAGACTACAGTCTATCTCAGTGGAAGAAATGGTGATTCTAAGTAAATTAAATGCTACTATAGCACAGTGCAAAGTTCTCGAATGTAGACTCCAGACCAGTAGCATCAGCATTATCTAGGAACTTATTAAAATGCAAATTTCTGGCCCTACTTTATAGATATTGAACCAAGAACTTTGGGACTGGGACCCAGTAACCTGTATTTTAACAAGCTTTGAGTAATTCTGATGCAAACCGAAGTTTGAGAAACATTGATGTAGTGTGTAAGGTATAGGTGCTGGATTCAGACTAATTGGGTTCAACTCTTGCTCTACCAATCTCCTGACTGTAGGACTCTAGGCACGTTACTTGAATTCCATGTGTCTGTTTTCTTTTCTGTAAATTGAGGAGGATGATAATGATAGCACCACCCTGATATGATCATCATAAGGATTAAATTAGCTAATAGATGCTAATCACTAGAACAGTACCTGACACATTGAAAAACACTCAGTAAATGTGCTTTGGTTTTGTTATGAGGCATAAATAACTGTTGAGAATACCATGTTTTGTTTAAGACCCAAATAACTCTTGAAACTATTCAAATACTCTGAAAAACCTAAAATGTAGTTATTTAATAATTAGAAGACATTTATTCAGCAGGCTGTTTCATTTTTTAAGCAATGAATGATGCAATTTCTTAACTAAAGACTTGAGTGTTTAAGGTATAAATGTGCAGTAATATGGCCAAAAAATCAATAATTTTTTTTTAGTAAAGATCTGATAGCAGCTTATTAGCTATAATGTGTAGGTAGGTACTTATCGTATTATTGCTTCTTAGGACTCAAACTGACGAGCAGCAATTAACTATCTCAAAGTGTGATATTATTTGTTTAGTACTTATTAATAATATTGGAGGATTTTTTAATTGTAAGAATGATGATTTCTTGGGAGAGACATCTGGTCCTTCAAGGACAATTACTTGGTTTGAGATTCTCCAGAATTTGAGAATTTAAATTGTTCTGCTCTGTCTTGAATTTTTACCTGTTTTACCAGAAAACATATAAAGCTTCCTTTAAGAATCAAGAAAGTAGCATCACAACCAGAAAACAGATTTCTTAGCTTCGGCTTAGTGTCACTTTCTGCTTTCCATGAATTGGGGTAACAAGAGCATCCCTCTGTGCTCCCTGCTCCTCCAAGTCTGCCAAGCAATTAGCATCTCTTAACATTTCCAGGCAGCTGCCTAATGAAATGCTTGTTTCTCCAGAAAG
The DNA here is from genome assembly GCF_000001405.40 of Homo sapiens. Classification (NCBI taxonomy): domain Eukaryota; kingdom Metazoa; phylum Chordata; class Mammalia; order Primates; family Hominidae; genus Homo; species Homo sapiens. The sequence goes on along the minus strand of NC_000003.12, from coordinate 81,965,826 downwards.
TCATTTTGCATATAAAACTGTCTGATCGTCTGAAACTAACAAAGGTATTTTCAGTCCAAAAGACACCCTGACATTTGCCAAAACAAATGTTCAGATATTTCAAAATTTCATCCAAAATTTACATTAGGCCTATCTATAGAATATCAGTTAAGGCTGGTGACCATTAAAAAATTAAGTAGCATCTACAAAAATTTTTCCTCACTTTAAAACGTCTTCATTGTGTAGTTCTTTCAGTAGATTATGAATTCCCAGGTACATTTCTTCATTTGCTTTCTGAAATGGTTCCTTGGAGGAAAATCAGAACCATGAAGAAGATGTAAATGAGAAAAAAATGTGCCATTTAAGCTTTTTCCAGCTGTTCTTATCTCCATCTTTCTATAGTTAGTAGACCTGTGCCTTGTTCCTTGGGTTTGTGAAGATGAACAGATTTCTGCCCACTCTTAAGGAAGGTTCTTTTCTAAGTGTTTAGAGTTCCATATTCAGGACACAAGTTCATTTCTCTTATCTTCTTATTTATGCATACCAGCCTAGAAAGGTTTAGGGCTTAACGACAAGAAAATACAAGTCACTGCAGCAGGAAGATGCAGCATTCTGACTCTTCTACCTTGACTGCATGCACAATTAAGCTAAAAGCTTTGGGTTTAACCTCTTTTCATTAGCTTCATGTGTACTTGAAAATTTTTGCAAAACGTGGCCAAGATGAGAATTTGTTCGAGGTTAGGACACAGAATCATTCAGTATAGTGATTGCCAGGATGTATTAAGGTTGTAGAGAGCATGCCTTGACAACTGATAACGCTAGAGTTATAGTCAAGGCCCAGAACCAGGAATAATCTTATCTCTGGAGAAGGTTAAAAAGACAGAACTATTCCTGGTGTCAGTAAAAGAGCAATAGGATATTCCTAGGATCAGAGTAAAGAGATCTGTCTCATAGTGTCTGCTGTAATCAGACTATGCCACATTCAGAGTCAGATGGAACATTTTTTCCAATTCCCTACCTGCTCACAGATACCAATCATGTCATAAACACAGGGCCAAGTAAAGCGAATTATGCTGTAACTTCTAACACAGAGGTTTTTTGAGCTGTTATGCCCCAAAGGTAAAGAGACCTCAAGAGAAACCAAAAATCTTAAAAGAAAGCAAGGGAGAGAAAGAGAGAGAGGGAGAGAGAAACTAATCAAGAAATGGATCAAGATTGGATATGAATCCCAGTATCTTCAATTCTATGACAAATGATATTTGTGCTTGAACCAGATTGGATTGGATTTTAAGTGACAGAAGATAATAAATAGGAATTTTAGGGTTTTAATGTTAAAAAAAAAAAAAACTTCAGTCTAACCACTGTTCTCTTGATTTAATGCATTCAGAAGAAATTGATTTTTTGATTTTTATCTTGCTATAGAAAAAAATCTAAAGACAAAATGTCTCTATATAGCAATATATAAGTACATTATACACCACACACACACACGCACACACACACATACACATACACAAGACTGTCTTGATTTTGTCCTTTTCAAATGAACTAAAAGATTCAGATCTTGTCAAAAGGTCTTGGGACTTTTGCTACTACACAAAAAACCTGACATACAATTTGCTCAAAATGTCTCAGCTGGAAATTTACTTGGACTCTATTGGTTTGTATTGAATAGAATATTCCCAAGTGGTTGTAATCTTTGCAATGGCTCAATCTGGAATCTTAGGAAGTAAATTCCAAGAGCAGAGAAAGCTTTGTATGATGATATTGAGAGGAATAAAGATACTGTCTGCTTTATCTAAAAATAATTATTTAGTAGGAGTTAACCATGTTGGTCCTCTCTTTCAACATCACTACTGTCTTAGCCTTCTTAAAATTTAGAAAGGAAAAGGCAACAACTGGTAATTAAATCACCACGTTACACACAAGATTGTGTTACATATAAACAAAGCCCTCCCCCAGCTCCAAAATAGCACATTATGTGAAAGCCTCATATTGACTGATAGAAACCTCTCACATGTTTCAACTATTCTTCGAATCCATGCAGGTTATTCCAGTAGATATTTTATATAGTGGTAGAAAAAAAATTGACAATTTCTAGATCTTTTTGAAGCGTGTTTAAAACTGAGGAGTTTTTTTCTATGTGTTTAATTTTATAATTACTAAGTCATACAGGAGGAATAATTATAAGAACTAACTTATTTTTTCTTACCACAGCCCTAAACTACATCCCATATATCATATTTTTAGCAACTGAAGTACGTCTGCAGGTGCCAAAACTACCAATGGATTTGTCTAAACCATTAAATAATCAGTCCCTCAAGTCAAATAATGAGTCACACAGGTCGACATTGATTAGTCAATTTAGTCAAAATAGTCCATCTGGAACATAAAAACACAACTCAAAAATAAAGAAAGAGGAGGAAAAAGAGGAAGAACATATTATCCTGCATGACTCTGGCATTGTGTACCTCCAAATATTTTATTTTTGATTAGTATTTTAATATGGTTTTAGAGAAAATGGACATATGGCAAGCTAAAGATTCTTAACAAGAAATCTATTTGTGCAAAAAATATTCAAAGATGAACTGATACAAGGTCTGGGATTCGTTTCAAAATAATCCAGTGTCAGTGTGTATGGAGCTAGACAGTGGGCAGAGGTTAGTAAGGTATGCTGAGAGGGTGACCATGTAATTCATTATCCAAAATAGAACACATTTGAAAAATAAATGGAGAGTTAAGATCATTAACAGTCATGGCTTGGTTTAAACCAGGAAATGTGGTCAGCGTAAGCGTACTGGAAATAAGGCAAGAATTGAAAATTGTAGAGCCTTTCCCATATTACCAATCTAATAGGCCCATAGGGGACTCATTATACTGTTGTCTTAAATTTGCATGTGTTTGGAAATTTTTCACAATACAAATTCTGTAGCGTAAAGAACATTGATTATTTGTCATTAATGGCTATATAACGTCAATCCAATCCTTTTTTGTATTGATTTGATTGGCTCCATATGATGGCAAAGGTCTCTTCACTTTCTAAAATTCTGAAATTCAACAATAAGGAAATTCAAGTCCAACTTTGATTAGAAATAAATATGGAAAGATGATGGGAGGGCTTATTCAATAATGCCATCTTATGCAGGTTTTAAGGGCCTTCTGAAAAAAAAGAAATGTGTAGTAGTTGAATTAGTGTTCTGTAGAATGACATCACCAATGTGAGTCATAGAGAGAAGAAAAGAAGTAAAAGACAAGTTTGCCATTCTAAGATTTCTCTCTTCCTGAGTAAACAATAGTGCTGTGAATCCAGTACCTATGGAGCAAGTAGCAATAACAGAATACAACACAGAATCAGTTACACTGCATTTACGAATAAGCGATAAAAACCAACAAGAGCAATGCAGGCACAGATCTCAAGGGCTGCCTCTGCCTGTTGTCATCAATATGGATCTCTACTGCTCTTTCCATCCTAGGGTGATCCATATTGATTGTAGAGGCCAACAGAATCCAAATCCACAGGCTCAATCTATTGTGCTGTGGTCCATTTTTCTCCAGCTGTGATCATGAGTACCATTAATTAAACTTGGTGTCTTATTATTTCTTGTATTGTAGATCATCCTTGTATCTATGGCTCATTCATATATATAATTACATGAATTAATTCATTCATCCTGAAGGGGCTATTAGCAGAAAGAATACTATTTGGGAAAGCAAGTTTGTATAAAATTTTACCTCAAGTTCTGGTGCCTCCACAATGTGGAAATAGGCCATATACTCAAAATAAAATCATTTACAATCATTCAAGTAAATGGAGGATCATTTCTAGGTTATCATTTAATCTACATAAAAATGATATAAGACTCTAGATATAAGGTAGTACTATTATTATCACCTCCAATTCACTAATGAAAAATTTAGGCACAGAGGGTTTAACAGATGTTACTAGCAAGTTGCTAATAGTCATCTAGCTTCCCAAGACATCGTGACTCCTATACTCAACACCTTTTTTGCAAGGAAGCATTTTCAAATGAGTAGTTATGGCAAGATGTACCAAAAGAGACCCAAAATTAGAAAGGCTGTATGCTATACTTACATTGACCATATGTTGCCTCCCAAAAAATATTAAACTTCTTCCTTTCTTTAAAAATAAAGTGAAAAATTAGTTCTATACTTCCAAGAAGATGGGGTCAGTCACCAACTTTAGATAGTACATTTGTATTAATCTAAAGCAAGGGCTGACAAACTCTGGCCCTCAGGTCAAATACAGCCACTGCTTGTTTTTGTAAAAAAAATTACAGAGATACAGCCATATCCATTTATTATAGTCTGTGAATGTATGTATGCTACAATGAGTAGTTGCAGTATAAAGTATCTGCCACACAAAGCCTAAACTATCACCTTTCGGTTCTTTACAGATAAAGTTTCCCAGACTCTAGTATAAACCTATCACAGTGATTCCACTTACTCTGATTGGTTTAAATAAAGACAGGCAATATTTTCCATGCCAATGAGACACCTGGGAAAGTCTATTGTGTCTGTTGGGGCTGGGGGGACTGGGGGAAAAGGAAAATAAGGAAATGTTTGCTCTTTCAGCCTTTGAACATTGCTATATGAAGATATGATACAAGGGCTTTGTCATGGATTAAACTGTGTTCTCCTAAAAAAATGTTGAAACATTAACTCTCATACCTCAGAATATAACTTTATTTGGAAACAGGATCACTGCACATGTAATTAGTTAAGATGAGACCATATTGGAGTAAGATTGGCCCCTGATCCAATATGACTAGTGACCTTATAAGAAAATGGTCATGTAAAGACAGACACAAGGAGAACGTCATAGGAGGATGAAGGCAGAAATTGAAATGATGCATCTACAAGCCATGGAATGCCAGTAAACAACTAGAAGCTCGGAGGGAAGCAGGAAACAGATTCTTCACATATATCACAGAAGGAACCAACTCAGCCCACACCTTGATTTCAGACTTCCAGTCTCCAGAACTGTGAAACAACAAATTTCTCTTGTCTTAGCTACCTAGTTTGTGGTACTTTGTTAGCAGACCTAGTAAACTAATACAAGGTTGCTGCAGCACACCTATATTTCTAAGGGGTGTAGCCTGAGGACATGGGACAATACACTGAGGATGACAGGACACAAATGGAGAGATGGTACAAACCTAAGTTACTGAGGATAATGTTGACCCACTGAGTTAACAAACCCTAAAATGACATCTCTGGGTTCTTATCTGAGATAATAAATTCTAATATCACTTAAGAAATTTTGCACATTGTTCTTTGTTGCTTGCAACCAAAGCATCATAAATTACATACCACAGAGCTTGTATTTTCCTGAGCAATGTTGATACTCTATTTCACTGTCCACATAAGCACTGTCATACTTATTAGGGATTACAGTATTTTCTTTGATTCAAAAAAGAAGGTGATTGAAGCAATACTGGTACTTGGAAGCAGGTAGAAAAGAAGAGGTGAAAGCTTTAATGACAGTAGTCAGGGCCAGTAATGCACAGAGCCACAGAGATTAAGGTAGTTAGGTTGGTAAGCTGTTAAGACAGATATCAACTATGACAATCCAGTGTTCAGTTATGAGATGTGATGAAGCAGAGTGGTAAATTTTGAAAAAAGAGTGGATTTGTTACCAAAACAAATTGACATCCCTAGTGAATGGCAACAATGTTTATGTAAAGGCCAAAGATTTTTAAATTTAACAGTTGATAAAACACAGGCACTTTCACTGAACAACGTAAACTAGCAAAATTTTAAATGCAAATGTTAAGAGAAGGCCATCTAGCTATCTGTACACATTTTACTGCACGTATTTGCATGTAGGTTGAGAGACAGAAAGCATTATGCAGTGACAGAAAAGGTCTCTAGAGGGGAAATATCAATAACAACAAAGTATTATATAAAGAAATGCCCTCTACCCCAACTCTCCACTTCCAAAACTTCGTAAGTCAATTTTTTTCATGACTGGTTTTAGAGAGAAAGTCAGGATTCCAAATTAGTACCTGTAGAGCTTTCAGAAATCATACAGTTATCACCCCATTCACCATCCACCCCCAGACTCACAGAATCACATCTATAGTCAGCCCAGTATTAATAGTGATTTATCATATCCCTCTGGTCTACAGAGCAGAATTCCATAGAATCATTAAACACCATCTTTAGCTGAAAGATGAAGTGTCTCTCAAACTCAGTGCAAACTACTCTCAGAAAAGAAATGACTCAATGCCCAAGATGTGAACAATTATCTGATTTATAAGTTAATACCATATGATGATGATTCAGAGTGTATGGTGCATGGAAAGAAACAAAAAGAAACATTCCTTTTTAATTAAGATGCTTCCCAAAAGTTGACATTTCCTGTAACCCCACTTTATTCAGCAAGCATTTCCACACACCATCGCCCTGCTAAAAATGGTAGCAATGTCTCTCATTGGCTTGACCTCATAAGACTACCCTGACAAGCCACTAAAATCCCAAACTTATTTGAAAAAGATAAAAGTAATTTATATACAGAATTAAGATTTAATAGAGAACATACCACTCCTTATCCATTTCTATAGCCAGCTCTCAAGATCAGGCCCTTATCCCTTTAATGCTTGAGTTACTCAGCTGATTTTGGATCTTTGCCCCATGTTTCTACAAACAGTTAAGAAACCAGTCTTCTTTAAATGCCGTTTGTAAGGCATCCAAATAGAAAAAGAGGAAGTCAAATGACCTAATGTCTCTTGTTGATGGTATAATTCTGTACCTATAAAACCCTAAAGATTCCACTAAAAGACTCCTAGACCTTATAAATGACTTCAGCAAAGTCTCAGCATACAACATCAACCTACAAAAATCACTAGCATTTCTAAACACCAATAACGTGCAAGCTGACAACCAAATCAAGAACACAATCCTATTTACAGTAGAGACACACAAACACACACACACACACAAACCTATGAATACATTTAACCAAGGAGGTAAAAAAAATCTTTACAAGGGGAACTCCAAAGTACTGCTGAAAGAAATCAGAGATGACACAAACAAATCAAAAAGCATTCCATGCTCACAGATTGGAAGAATCGATATCATTAAGCTGTCCCCACTGCCCAAAGCAATCTACATATTTAACGCTATTGTTATAAAATTAGCAACATCATTTTTCACAGAATTATAAAAAGCTATTCCCAAATTTATATGGAACAGAAAAAGAACCTGACTAGCCAAGGCAATCCTAAGCAAAAGGAATAAAGCTGGAGATACCATGTCACTAAACTTCACATTATACTACAAGGCGACAGTAACCAAAACAGTATGGTACTGATACAAAAATAGACACATAGACTAATGGAACAGAATAAAGACCTCTGAAATAAAGCCACACACTTATAATCAACTGATCTTTGACAAAGTTAATAAAAATAAACAATGAAGAAAGGACTCCTTAATAAATGGTGCCAGGAAAACTGGCTAGCCACATGCAGAAAAATAAAACTGGACCTCTACCTCTCACCATATACAAAATTTAACTCATGATGGATTAAATACTTACATGTAAGACTTCGAATTATAAAAATCTTAGAAGAAAACCTAGAAAATACTCTTCTAGACATTGGTCTAAGCAAAGAATTTAAGACTAAGTCTGCTAAAGCAAATATGACAAAAACAAAAATTGCTGATTAGGACCTAAATAAACTAAAGTGCTTCTGCACAGACAAAACAAAACAAAGCAAACAAACAAAAAAACTATCAACAGAGTAAACAGACAACCTACCAAATGAGAGAAAACATTTGCAAACTATGCATCTGATGAAGGACTAATTTCCAGAATCTACAAAGAACTTGAACTAATCAATAGGAAAAAAACAACCCCATTAAAAAGTGGGCAAAAGATATGAACAGATACTTCTCAAAAGGAAACATACAAGCAGCCAACAAATGTAAACAATTCTCAGCATCACTAATCATCAGGGAAATACAAATCAAACCCATGAGGGCCAGCTGGGCGCAGTGGCTCACGCCTGTAATCCCAGCACTTTTGGAGGCTGAGGCAGGCAGATCACAAAGTCAGGAGATCGAGACCATCCTGGCTAACACAGTGAACCCCGTCTCTACTAAAAATGCAAAAAATTAGCCAGGCATGGTGGCACGTGCCTGTAGTCCCAGCTACTCGGGAGGCTGAGGCAGGAGAATTGCTTGAACCCAGGAGGCAGAGGTTGCAGTGAGCCGAGATCAGGCCACTGCACTCCAGCCTGGGCAACAGAGTGAGACTCTGTCTCAAAAAAATAAAAAATAAAAAAAAATGAGATACCACCTCATGCCAGTCAGAGTAGTTATTATTAAAAAGTCAAAAAATAATAGATGTTGGCAAGGTTGCAGAGAAAAGGGAAGACTTATACACTTCCGGTGGGAATGCAAATTAGTTCAGCCCCTATGGAAAGCAGTTTGGAGATTTCTCAAATAACCAAAAATCGAATTACCATTTGACCTAGCAATCCCCTTACCAGGTATATACTCAAAGGAAAATAAATCCTTCTACCAAAAAGGCACATGCACTTGTATGTTTATTGCAGCACTATTCACAACAGCAAAGACATGGAATCAACCCAGATGCCCATCAATGGTGGAATGGATAAAGAAAATGTGGGACATATACACCATGGAATACTACACAGCCATAAAAAAAGAACAAAATCATGTCCTTTGCAACAACATAGATGGAGCTAGGGGCCATTATCCTAAGTGAATTAATGCAGAAACAGAAAACCAAATACCACATGTTCTCACTTATAGGTGAGAGCTAAGCACTGGGTACACATAAAGATGGGAACATTATATACTGGGTATTCCAAAAGGGAGGAGGGGTGAGGGGAGCAAGGGTTGAAAAACTTCCTATTGGGGACGATGTTCACTACTTGGGCGACAGGATCATCAGAAGCCCAAACCTCGCCATCATGTAATACACTCATTTAATAAACCTGCATTATGTACCCCCTGAATCTAAAATAAAATAAATTTTCTTTTAAAAATACTATTTTCATGCTTTCTATTATCTCTAATGGTTCTCTATTTTCTGTATATCTCAAATCCAAGTACCTAATTTTTTATTCATTTTCTAATGTCATACCTCAAGCCTTTATATATCTTTTACAATCCAACCAAAACAATTACGTAGATGCTTTAAATGATATTTGTGAAGTTTTTCTCCTGTTAAAAAGAAAATATACTACCAATAAAGGCTTTTGCATTGAAATGTAAATAATTTCCTTTAAGACTTAGTGAACTGCTTCTGGAACCCTTCTCCAACACGCCAGCCCAATTTTGATCTCTCTCCCTCTCTCTCTCTCTCTCTCATTTCTTCAGCACCTGGGTATGCATAACACAGGTACTAGGATGCTTTCTGCCTTCAAATTCTTGTCAAGGGTATAAGTTTTGTTTTAATCTCCATGTAGGATTGGAAGCCCCTCAAGGGCAGGAGTCTTACCTTCTCTTCTTTTGTGTTGTCCTCAAACTCTGTCAGCTTCACACAAGCACATTCAAATGTATGCTGACTGTCTAACTTAAGCCTCCGTTCTTTCATTTGAGTGTATAAAGCTCATCAGCAGCTGGTTGAGCATGCTGATTTGAAAAGCTGCTCCAATGTATACAATAAGTGATACATTTCATGTGTGGTGAATAACTGCTCCCACTTTAAAATTCTAAAGTGCAGCATAAAAATAGCGTATGACAAGGCTGTCCATCTGGAAGTAGCGTTCTATGCATTATAAAGTGAGAAGGCACTAAATCCTGAAGAGGGCTGAAATTGGAGAGACCAGTGAAGTGTTTTGCCAACAGGAAAGGAAGATGATTGCTTTTCTCTAACTGTGCCGTGTTGCCAAGTATAGGAATCCAGCTGTTGTGCAAGATTTATATTCATTTTACTTAACTATAAATGCATCATGCACCATTTTTCTTTAATTACTCAGATTAGCTGGGTAGGTGTAGGTGATGCACTGAGGTCTGAGTGTAATCAAAATGAGCTGCTGCGATAAAGTGAAACGAAAATATTTTTGTAGTCAATGGGAGGGGGGGAAGGATGTTTATGTGAAAAAATAAGATCTTTTCACTGCAACAATCTAATTAGCATTAAAATCTCCTTAGTTAGCCAGGACTGAGAATCTTCCAATTATAGATAAAGTGATTTTGCAGCAGAAATCTATATCAATTTTTTTACATTCTTAATTACTTTTTATTTTGTGCCCTCATATTCAGAGCATTCTGATGGCCAGCTTTATCCTCTGTAAGCATGCCTGCATGCCTCTTTCCTCAAATCTCTGAAAAGCCTTTAATTTCCTGAATTTTTATATCAGAATTCCTGGCCAGATTTCCAAATTGCCTATCAACTTGTTCCACCCTCCCTAACTCAGTTCTTATATGAGTTTCCCATCCAATTTTTTCTGTTGAGTACTTTTAAGATTTTTCTCAGAATGTTCCATATTCTCACAGTAGCCTCTGTTCCATTCATCATATTTGAAAACAATTTTTACCTCCTACTGTAAATCTTTACTGTCTTTTAAAACTCATTCCGTATCTTAATAGTTATCTGCTTCACCAGTACCTCTGCTTGCGTGCGAATATTTTCATTAACTATATACAACATCTGTCCACATACATATATTTTATTCATGGATCAATGGAATACAGCTTTGTTACTCTGGTTCAATTTATTACATTACAATTCTATTTGAAATAGGACTATATTATATAATCTTGGTGTTGTGTAACTCCTTTTAGCACTTAGAATAAGTTGTTATTAAGAGGTTATTAATTATCATTGTGCTCAATCTAAGATATATACTTCCATTGTTATTTTCCTCCTATTTTTCTTACAACCTTTATTACCTCCTATAAGAACATGGTTCCTGTTGAAATCCCAGATTTTGATTCCCTTCACATGGCTCAGGAATAATTATCGTATCAGTCATGATTATGTAGCACATTGCAGAAGTACAGTATCGCACAACCATTTATGATTTTCATTAATCATTATAATTACCGCATTGCACTGAAATGCCTCAGCTGCTTGCCATGGATAGTGCTGCAGTCAGCTCTGTCTGTCCTCCACCCCACTTTGATTCTGGTGAACTCTCAAGTTTCTTAAACTTACAGCCTTCACTTAACAGCATAACCTGTGCTGTCTTGTAAATGTAATCACTTGCATAGTCTTAAGTTAACTTAAATTTCTTAGGCCTCTGCTTTGAGTCCCAATATAGTACTTTTCTTGGCCAAGTCAGTACATTATTCTTGGATTTGTGAATAATGTGGCTTTTTAAGAAAAAGATTGAGACAGCAAGGTAAATATGTGTAACAGGATCTGTGGAATTATGGTTACTTTAGGTGATTATTTTATCTTTTTAACCACTGATCTGCAAGAGAGAAAAATGTTTTAAAATTTTTTGAAATTGGACTAGTTTTTAGTAATTCTCTGTTTGAAGAGATACTGACCTGCATGACATCAAATATGAAGGGGATAATTTAGCTAGTTAAGCATTCAGTGAGGATTCAACTGGGTCAGAGCAATATCTTCTTTCATGTAGGAAAGTACTTCAAATTTTGTAACAAGTGAGGATAGGAATGTGGTCTAGTAAATTTATAATTTCTTCATTCAGTATTTCTCTAAATGAGAGAACACATAAGGCTTTTACATTCCCTGTGCTTTTACTGAAGGTATAAATCCCTCACTCTCTCTCTCTCTCTCTCTCTCTGTGTGTGTGTGTGTGTGTGTGTGTGTTTATGTACACAGCAAACATTCTAGCCGGGTGCGGTGGCTCACACCTGTAATCCCAGCACTTTGGGAGGCCAAGGCAGGTGGATCACTTGAGGTCAGGAATTTGAGACCAGCCTGGCCAACATGGTGAAACCCCATCTCTACCAAAACTATAAAAATCAGCTGGGTGTGGTGGCGGGTGCCTGTAATCCCAGCTACTCAGGAGACTGAGGCAGGAGAATCAATGAAACCCAGGAGGTGGAGGTTGCAGTGAGCCGAGATCACGCCATTGCACTCCAGCCTGGGTAACAAGAGCAAAACTCCGTCTCAAAAAAAAAAAAAAATCGATTTTTTCAACTCAGGAAGCAATAGTAATGAGACATTTCTGAATGCCCCTGCACTCAACACAAATTTTATGATGAAAAAAATGTAACACAGTCATATGACACAATATTTCCCCTATTTTACAGACTGTATGAATGTGTGTGTATCTGTTCTCTCTCTTTTTAAATAATTTTTTTCTGTAAGTTTTCCAAGACATTAAAGTACTACTAAAGAATTTTAACCCTCTTTTAATACAAGAATTTGGCAACAAAATGGTCCCATAAATATGAATGACTTTTTAAACACTAATGTTTGAAGCTTTTAAAATAGAATTCTGGAGTGTGATGTTTCATAAGGATCACACAAAATCCTATAGAGAGCAATATGACTTTGAGTGGGGAAAGAGGGATGTACCACATATGGCTTACAAATTGCTTCATCGGATTCTTCACATTTGCAAAAGTCAACAACAGCAATTCCGATTGGCTCAACAAGTTTAGGCAATTACCTTACAGATGCAATAACAGTGCGGAAAGTTCAGCTCAGTTTCTGCAAGCGCTAGTCCAAATGAGAATTGCGAGCAAAGCAGTGAGTAGTGATTTCTCCCCCAAGTTCTTAATGCTCCAGGCAAGAGTTTCAATCCAAAGGGCTGTTGAGAAAACGGACAAATACTGAGCAATGGGTAGTGATTGCAGTGCAGGCTGCTGCAGGCACTGGTAGAGAGGAAATAACACTTATCAGAAGCAAAAATAAAAGATGACGGAATAATAAAAGTAAGACTATTGGTGAAAAATAATATTTTTGTAAAATGATAAATGCAGAGAACAATATGTTCTCTCGAGACATAAAAACTTTTATAAAGAAGTCATCTAATCTTTAGAGGGCTAGAAGTGTTAATAATGCACTTGGGGATGTTTAAGTTATTGTTACTGGTTTGCTGATAATGCTGTTTTTCGCTTCAAAATGGCTTCTGGGTAAGTAACAATCTTCCATTTAAAATCTGTCTGCCCTGCTGACACTCTCTGATCATATTGCTTACTCAGACCAGGTGTTTCATGAAACCAGCTTTAAGTGCCAATAATGAAGCACCTTAGAGGGTCTATGTCTCAGCACAGATGTATGTAGTTTTGAAGTCTGAAATCTCCGGTGTCCTCAAATTTGGAAATTTAAAGCAAAGAGCAAATAGTTTTCTTGTGTAATGTTAATGCCTTTCTCTTCTTCTTTAGAAAATACGTGGGCTTCATGTGTTAGAAATGGATGTTATTTTCCCTGCATTATGGCACTGTACGAAAAGATCTGTGAGGCAGAGAAGCTTTTATTCTCATTATACAGTATATGTGGAAGCACTAAGAAATATGAAATCCTTCACTGGGGCAGAGTAAAAGATTTTCATTTCAGCTGGAGAGGAAATGTGCCAAAGTGGCTGAAAATAATTCAAGTAATTGGCAAAGAGCTGTACTCTAAGGAGGCTTTTGGTGTAATTTGATTTTGTGCCTTTTAGGGGAGCAAGTGAGATATGAGTCTATCTGCCCCTGAGGGCCAAGAGATTTTTTAACATTATGGGATCCTTAAGGTAGATGACGATGAATCACAGTGTCAAAAAGACAATCTAGACTTGTGATATCCTTAAGAAATAATAATAATAATAAGGATAACGCTCAACGGAGTTAGAGAATGTCCCTTATGGTGTGTAGTTTGTGCTCTGCCAAAACACTGAGAAAACAATCTTACTTAAAAGCTAGATGCTCCTCTGCCTACAAATTTAGCATAGGATTATTGTTAAATGCCATAAATGCTGCCAATAATAAAGGATGAAAATAACCAACTGGGTCAGAATTAGTTTTGTATTGACGGGCACCCACAGCATCACCAAGTCAGAGAAACTTGCAAAGCAGCCAAGTTTGTTTTGGCCAACTCCCTCTTAAGTCCCTATCAACTTCCCCTCTCCTTATGGCCTCTTCGCAGATCTTGGATCTTCTTCAAACAGAGGCTTAGATCTCTATTCATTTTCAGTTTATTCCTCTCATAGTGCAAAGAAAAAGGCAGCTTTACGTGTTACTTTATTTTGGAAGACGCCATTTCCTTCAAAGTAATTTCAGCAGTGAAACTTTAAGCATAATTCCAAAATATAATATTTTCAGTAATGGACTTTTAAGCATTTTTTTTTACACAAGGGGTCCTTAAACATTCTTTTTCTGCAACTTAAATGTTAGGCAGGCTCAGACTATATTAATTCTCACATAGAATAAGTAGAAGATTTGAATTGTTCATTCACTCCAAGAATTTGCAGGTAACTTGTAACTTCAGCGCTGTGTATGGTTACTTTCTTTTCTCTGGTTTATTCACAAAATTAAGGAAGAGAAAGAAAGCGCTGCATGAGATCCCTCCAGGACAAGGCCACACAGGTATAGCACAGTATATGAATACCCGGGCTGTAGGGCACTCTCCTACCAGCAGGGCCATACTAAACTGCAGAGTCCCCAACCCGCCGACCCCGTTTTCCCATAGCTCAGTGGTTCTCAAACTTTAGCCCACATCTAAATTATCTGAGGGCTTGTTTAAGAACAGATTGCTGGTTTCCAGCCCCCAGAGTTCTTTAATCAGTAGGTTTTAGTTGGGGGTGGATCTTTGCATTTCTAGCACATTTCCTGTTGATGTTAATGCTGCTGATCCAGGGGCCACCCCATAGCTCAAACTACCATCCATATAACTATTGTATTGTCCAACCCCACAATACAAGATCATCTAGAAATGATGCGTTCTGTGTGAGGTTCAGAAGTAGCAATACACGTCCATGAACAAATTCTGTGTTCATGTTTTTACACAATTCTTTGAATAAAATATCTCAATTTCTTTATTGGGTTCAGTGAAAAACAGAACACTTGAAAGTCAGTTCAGGACTTCCAGTTCCAAATGAGATACAGTAGATGCACATCTCTATGTTGGTCTTATTAAGAAATACTAAACCCTGAACATTATGTATTGTAAAAGGTAAATCTTAGGGCCCAAAATTGCTATGCCGAAGGGAAAAGTCAAGCTGAGAACTGCTCAAGGCAAACCTGCCTCCCATTCTTTTCAAAGCCATCCCTCTGCTCACTGAGATAGAGGCATAGTCTGATTGCCTCCTTTGGAAAGGTTTATCAGAAACTCAAAAGAGTGTGACCATTTGTCTCTCACCTACCTGTGACCTAGAAGGCCCCTCCCTGCTTCAAGTTGTCGCCGCCTTTCTGGATAGAACCAATGCATGTCTTACATATATTGATCGATGTCTCATGTCTCCCGAACATGTAAAAGCAAGCTGTGTCCCAAACAGCATGTGCACATGTCATCAGGACTTCCTGAGGCTGTGTCATGGGTGTGTGTCCTCAACCTTGGCAAAATAAACTTTCTAAATTAACTGAGACCTGTCTCAAATTTTCAGAGTTCACAGTATTAAAAAAAAGAAACCAGCACTTTGAGAGGCTGAGGCAGGCAGATGATGAGGTCAGGAGTTCGATACCAGTCTGAACAACATGGTGAAACCCCATCTCTACTAAAAATACAAAAATTGACTGGGCATGGTGAGGTATGCCTATAGTCCCAGCTACTCAGGAGGCTGAGGCAGGAGAATCGCTTGAACCCGGGAGGTGGAGGTTGCAGTGAGCCGAGATCGCGCCACTGCAGTCCAGCCTGGATGACAGAGTAAGACTCTGTCTCAAAAATAAATAAATAAATAAAAATTAAAAAATAAAGAAAGAAAACATAATACTTTGAGGAAGGAGAGAAAAAGGCAGATCAGTTGGGGATCTCAGGACCTGAGGAATGACATGGCAGGGAGCTCATCATATTTCCTTTTAGCCTCATATATCTCAGGCTGGATGCTAGAAAAGAAAGCATCCAGAAATATCAATGGATGCGTACTTAAAAACATACAACAAAACCCAACAAAAGCCTGTCTTCTCCAGACAATGCACTAGATAAGGGAAGCATAACAAGATAAAACGTTTAGACATTAACTGACTCCAGCCAACCCCTATGAAAAAAAACCACAGTCCCACTCCCACTCAGATCAGCAAAGGCCAAATGAAAAGCTGAAACTTAGATCCTCAGTCAGCTGCAATGGAGCACCCACCCTGGTCAGGCTGGTGTCAGAGCTGGGACCTACATCTCTGCCTGGATGTTAAACATCCTCTTCACTTCATGTTGTCAACGGAGAGCATACAGGAATATGGACTCCCACCTCCAATCTGAGATAGTGAGGGGCCTCCTCCTCCTCTCCCTAAAGCGGTATCAGAGGAAGCTGAGTGCAAAGCCTAGACTTTCACCACTTCCCAGCAGTAACAAGTCTCTCCCACCACCTTAGTCTCAGTGCAGGCTACGTGGGGATTCATAACAAGGAGATCCTCCCCTTATCAGCCTCAGTGGTGTCAGCATAGACTACTGAGCAGGCTGTACTTATCCCCATCCAGTAGTAAAAAGTCACTACCTCCAAGAGTGCAACAGAAAAGGATCTGGACTTCCTTCCCCACCTGGCAGTAATGAGGTGGTGTGGTGCCCCGCTTTGCACACCAGCATGGTGTCACAGGAGGCCTGCTCAAACAGAAGATTTAAGTAAGACCCAAAATATTATATCTAGGACATAATAAAAAAATTTTTTTTATTGTTAATTGGTCCTACACTTGGTCACTGGAAAAGCAGAGACAAATGTTCTGGTAAAGGTTTCAACAAGAAATTTTCTAACCTTGTGGTCCAAATCTTACTGTGATTGGTTTCTTAAACACAGTGTAAGCCTGCCCATTTTGAGACAACTTACTGAGGTCAGTGGATGGTTGATATAATGTTACAAATCAAAAGGTCTAAAATGTTATGGGTGACTTTGTTTGCTTCTCATAGGGAGTGTATGATATACTGGGAAGGTTTTAGAGTCACTCAGATCCATTTTTAAATCTCTGTTCCTCCACTTAGCAGAAATACGATCTTCATTAAATGTGTTAACCTGTCCAAGCCATTAGTTTCTTTGCTTATAAAATATACTACTAGTAGTAGGTATTATAGTAACAATAGCAATAGAATGACAGTAGTATTCTAGAGGAAGCAAAATTCTACCTATACTCTCTTACCTGGGACTGAGGATTAAACTAACATAAGACAGATTAACAGGAGAAAAAACATGTATATTTATTTACTATACATTTTCCATGACACAAGAGCCCTCTTAAAGAGATGGAGGACCACTTAGAATTGAACACTTGTATACTGAGTTGAACAAAGAGTACAAAATTGTGAAAACATGACAATGCAAGGGGAGTTGGACTAGGATAGTTAATCGTGTAGAAGTGACTAGAAACATAAGGGTTTGTTTAACAGGGTTTGCTTGTACAGACTTCTCTTGGCTTCAATTTGTCATCTCTGGTAAGAAGAAGGCCTTTCGCCTTTCTGCCTCCAGTTGCAGGGAGACCATCTTCCACATGGGAATCTCATCTCCTGCTTTAAGTTAGGTCACAGCGCCCTTTCCTGCATCTGTTGTTGGTTTTCAGTTTTTTAACTCAAAAACAATCAAGACACCAGAGCACCGTATTTTGAGGTGGTATGTTCTGAACTCCTTCTGTATAGTATTAATGTTAGTGGAAGGAGTAGTATGTAGTAATCACTTTGCCCATATTATCTCATGTAATATCTTCAACAGCCCGTTGCAAGATAAGTATTGTAATCGTCACTGTAAAAGTAAGGAAACTGGGGAGGATTTAATTTGAGGGGTTGAGTAATTTTTTCAAGATCACACAGCTCATAGTTGACAGTGCTGGGACGCAGAACCATGGCTGTTAACTTCAAAGCCCATATTTCATCAAGTACACTGAGAAGCTTCCCTAAATGCAACAGTGTTTGTAAGAGTATTTAGTGCAAAAATAGTAAACATTCAATTACTGTTAGCCCCTTCACTACTATTTTACGTGATATTTGCATTTATGTATAAATGTATACAAATGTGCTTAGAAATAAAAATAAAATTGTAAGCACCGCCCATCAACTGAAGGGACCCCTGATTGGTCAAGGGGACTCCAGAGAAATCTTGGAAGCTGAATTCCCAGCCATGACATGGTGGGAGGTTGGCCATGACTCATTATATCCCCTCCGTCACTAACCATCATTAGGCTTTCCCCCTAAGGGCTAAACAGAAACCAGCCCTTTTGAAAGACTCCACCATTGATATCAACCAACTGCCTGACACTGCCCCTCCCTTATGTCATTTTGACAAAGAAACTGACCAGCATTTCTTCCTGAAAAGAGATCACCAACCACAGGGTGGTTCTGACCAGTCAATGGAGAATGTGCCTTAGGTGTTTTTGTGTCCTCTGCTTCACCTTTTGATGTCAGAGAGCAGAAAGCTCCACCCTCAGATTATGCTAACATCATTTTCCTTTTTTTTTTTTTTTTTTTTGGAGACAGAGTCTGACTCTGGAGTGCAGTGGTACCATCACAGCTCACTGTAATCTCTGCCTCCTAGGTTCAAGCCATTTTTGTGCCTCAGCCTCCCAAGTAGCTGGGAATATAGGTGTGCACCACCACACCTGGTCAACTTTTGTATTTTTATTAGAGGTGGTGTTTCACCATGCTGGCTAGGCTGGTTTTAAACTCGTGGGCTCAAGTGATCCATCCACCTCGCCCTCCTAAAGTGTTAGGATTACAGGCATGAGCCACCACACCGGGCCTAGTACCACCATTTTTTTAACATGGGTCCCCTGGAGGGGAATGAAGCTCAATTGCACATGCACATGTTTATTCTCTTATAAATATTCTTGACTCCTCCTATAACTTACAGAATATGTATATCTGGCCATCCTTTTTAGCATAAATCCCTGTCATATTCTTCCAACTCTCAAAGTGTATGTTTCTGTCTTCTGGCTGTAGGCTATACTTCCCAGCCTATCATAATAGCCACTCTGCAGGCTATAGCCCTTTATGAGAAATAAAGCTCTCCTTTCCAGATTTATGAAACTTATCATTCTTCAGTTGACAGTACACACACATATATTTTTTATGTAAATTCCCCCTAAAAGGGCAGGTCTCTTATTAAGTGTGCTTACCACAATAAAATATAATAAAATAAATTTAATAATTTAAGTGCCTCTGAATTCCAATTTGAAGTTAAACTTATATTTGGTTCTTATAGTTCCTAAATAATACTATTCATTGCGGAGTCAAGGAACATACTAAGCTTCCATTCTTGAATTTTTTTCTTTTTTCTAGAGTCCAACATTTTTTATTTTTTATTTTTTGAGATGGAGTCTTGCTGTGTCACCCACACTGGAGTGCAGTGGCGCAATCTTGGCTCACGGCAACCTCCATCTCCCAGGTTCAAGCCATTCTCTTGCCTCAGTCCCCAGATTATCTGGTACAGGCATGCACCACCACAGCCAGCTAATTTTTTTGTATGTTTAGTAGAGACAGGCTTTCACCGTGTTGGCCAGGCTGGTCTTGAACTCCTAACCTCAGGTGATCTACCCACCTCAGCCTCCCCAAGTGCTGGGATTACAGGCATGAGCCACCGTGCCCGGCCTAGAGTCCAGTATTTTCTAATTGTTCTCATTTGTCTGGTTTTCTGTGTACCAGTTTTTCCCAGACCTTCCAACAGCCTTTCAGTACAGTTTTCTACTTGATCAAATATATCAGATTAGTTTTCCATTACATTTTTCTCTCAAACTGATGCACCTTCCCCAACCCCAGAACAGCTTCTTAATGTTCCAATGTAACCTCTAACTGTCCTAGCCTACTATGCGACTATGAATCTGGAAATTTTACTCTCTTCACTCCTATGCCAGACCTTGATTTCTTGATTCCATGTTTTCCTCTTTATGTGTTGCCTTTGCATATGCAAATGATGCCTTTGAAAACGTAGTATATTCAGATTGAGATATGATGATATTAGAATAATGGAAGGGAAACAGAAGAAGCTATATGAGAGCCAAATTCTTATCTGCCACAATAAGAAGTAAACAGATAAGGTCTAAACCATATAAATCAATAGTAACATCAATAACATGATGGAACAGGAGGTCCCTGGCTCTATTCTCACTCACAGAAATGCCAATTAACAACTATCCACAAACAAAAACACCTTTGAGAAAATCCCAGAAACCAGAGGTGAGGCTGAAGCACCCCCTGAGAAAACAAAACAACAACAACAAGAACAACAAAAGAACTAACAAAAGCTGAATTACAAAGGTCATAGAAGCAATTTCTGGAGAACTCTGAGGGTATTAGCAGGACTAGATCACCTAGGATCAGCTAAGGACAAAGAAGGGAGTAGAGTTCACGGTGACCAGTACATGCAACTTGGTGGTGGCACCACATCCCTGTCACTGACTTTGTCTAGCTGGAGTGCCTAGGCAGTGGATCTATCCATTCACAGAGCTTAACTGGTAGCCTTGTATGACCAGAGACCACAGAGAGCAGTTCTACTGAATTGGAATTCCCAGCCAGTCAGGGAGCATAGCCAGCAACACTGCCCAATTTTCAGGCATAGTCTGAGGGCTTTTCTGGGAAGGAAGCTCAGCCAAAGACCCTGCCCAAGTGCAGAGCCCAGTCTGAGGCCCAATCTAACTACAGACACAGCCAGAAGCCCTGGGCCACCAGAAACTCCAGCCAGTAGACCCACCCAACCATGGAGCCTACCCAGTGGCCCTACCCAACTGCAGAGCATGAGTAGTATTCTTGTCCAACCAAAGACAGAGGCAAAGAAACCTGCCTAAGGATGATACCAATTGGCTTGTTCAGAACCCCAGGATGGGTTGACTGGTGAAGTTCTTTTACTACAGAGGCAAGCGTGTAAAGGCTGAAGAAGGTGACCGTTTTCCCAATGCATAGACATGATTTCAAGGATACAAGGATCATGAAGGATCAGAGAAACATGACATCACATGACAAATAAACATGACAAAGAAAACTAATAAAGCTACAATAATTTACCCTAAAGAAATAGAGACACATGAACTAACTGACAGGGAATTCAGAATAGTCATCTTAAAGAAATTCAGTGAACTATAAGAAAACAGATCATTAAGTGATATTAGGAAAACAATATATGACCAAAATGAGAAGTCCAACCGGGCATGGTGGCTCATGCCTGAAATTCCAGCACTTTGGGAGGCCAAGGCAAAAGGATCACTTGAGCCGATGAGTTTTAGACCACCCTGGGAAACAAAGGGAGATCCTGTCTCTACAAAAAAGAAAAGAAAAAAAAAAAACCCTAAAAATTAGGTGGTCATGGTGGCATCTGTTTATAGTCCCAGCTACTTAGGAGGCTGATGCAGGAGGATCCCTTGAGCCTAAGAGTTTAACGTTGCAACAAGCTACAATCATGTCACTGTACTTCAGCCTGGATGACAGAGCACGACTGTCAAAAAGAGAGAGAGAGAGAAGTTCAAAGAAATACAAACAATATTAAAAAAATACAGAATCTTAGAGCTGAATAATGTAATTACTGAACTAAAATATTAAATAGAAAGCATCAACAGCAGACTCCATTAAGCAAAATAAATCATAAATGAACTTCAAGATAGCTCCTTTTAAATTATTCAGTCAAAGGAGCAAAAAGAATAAAAAGTAGTTAAGAAAAGCTACAGGACTCACGGAATATCATCAAGTGAAACAATAAACACATTATGGGAGTTCTAGAAGAAAAAGAAAAAGAAAAATGGGCAGAAGCCTTACTAAAATAATGATGACTAAAAACTTCCCAAATTGGAAGAAAGAAATAGATATCCAGATTCATGAGAACTAAAGACCTCCAACAGGATGAACTTGAAAAGGTTTACACCAAAATAAATTATAATTAAATTGTCCAAAGTCTAGACAAAGACAATTTTGAAAACAGCAAGAGAAAAGAGATTTGTCACATACTAGAGAGCCTCCATAATACTATAAATAAATTCTTCAGCAGAAACCTTGTAAGTCAGAAGAGAGTGGGATGATATACTCAAAACAGAAAAAGAAAAAAGAAATAAAACAAAACTGCTAACCAATAATACTATACTCAGCAAAGTTGCCCTTCAGAAATCAAGGAAAAATACTTTCCCAAACAAACAAAAGCTGAGGGAGATCATCAATATTAGATCTGCCTTACAAGAAATGGTAAAGTGAGTTCTTCAAGCTGAAAGGATGCTAATTTACATTATAACACCGTATTAATGTATAAAATTCACTGGTAAAGTTAAATACCTAGTCAAATTCAAAATTCTCTAATACTGTAATAATGGTACATAAACACTTTCAACTCTAGTATAAAAGTTAAAAGACAAAAGAATTAAGAAACCTACAATTATCATAATATGATAATGAATACACAATACAAAAAAATGTAAATTGTAACATCAATAACCTAAATGTAAGAGGTAAATATGGAGTTTTTAAAATTAAAGTTGTTATCAGCCTAAAACAGTTATAAAAAGATTTTTTTATATAAGCCTCATGGTGACCAAAAGCAAAAAACCTAAAGTAGATACAAAAAAGAATGAAAGAAAGGGATAAAAGTGTATCGCCAAAAAAAGACATCAAGTTTCAATGGAGGTCCACGCGCGGTGGCTCATGCCTGCAATCTTAGCACTTTGGGAGGCCGAAGCTGGTAGATCATGAGGTCAGGAGATTGAGACCATCCTGGCCACCATGGTGAAACCCCATCTCTACTAAAATACAAAAAATTAGCCAGGCCTGGTGGTGCTCTCCTGTAGTCCCAGCTACTTGGGAGGCTGTGGCAGGGGAATCGCTTGAACCAGGAGCAGTGAGCTGAGATTGCGCCATTGCACTCCAGCCTGGCAACAGGGTAAGACTCTGTCTCAAAAAACAAAAAACAAAAAAATTTCAGTGGAGACAGCAAAAGAGAGAAGAGGAACAGGGGAACTACGAAACCATCAGAAAACAAGAAAATGGCAATAGTAAGTCCTTATCTATCAAAATTACTTTAAACATAGATGGATTAAATTCACTAACTAAAAGACATCGAGTGACTGAATAGATTGAAGAAAAAAGCTCCAATTATATACTGTGTACAAGAGACTCACTTTGGCTTTAAGGACAACATAAGCTAAAATTGAAGGATATAGAAAGATATTTTATGCAAATGGTAACCAAAAGACAGAATGGGTGGCTATATTTATATCAGACAAAATAAGTCAAATATGGTCACAAGAACCAAAGCAAGTCATTACATAATAATAAAAGGTCAAATGTATCAAGGAGATATAAGAATTACAAATGTTTACATACTCAACATTGGAGCAACTAAATATATAAAGCAAATGTTAACAAAACTGAAGGGAAAAATAAATAGCAATAAAATAATAGTAAGGAACTTTAATATTTCACTCATAACAGAAATTAAATCAGGAAGCAGTGGATTTGAATAACACTACAGACTAAATGGACCTAACGCATATATAGAGCATCCCATCCAACAGCAGCAGACAACACCTTCTTCTCAAACACTCAGTGAACGTTCTCCATGATATATCATACTCAATGATGAAAAGCTGAAAACTTTCCCCCTAAGATCAGAAACAAGACAAGGATGTCCATTCTCACCACTTCTATTCAACAAAGTACTGGAAACCCTAACCAGAGCAATTAGGCAAGAAAAAGAAATAAAAAGCACCCAAATCAGAAAAAAGGAAATAAAATTGTCTCTGTTTATAGGTACATGATTGTATATTTAGGAAACCTTAAGTATTCCACCAAAAAAAAACTGTTAAAAATAATTCATTAAAGTTTTATCATACAAAAACAACATGCAAATGCAGTTGTTTCTGTACATTGTCAATGAACTGTTTGAAAAAGTATACGATAAAATGTCATTTAAAATATTATAAAAACAATAAAATATTTAGGAACAAATTTAGCAAATGAGATGAAAGATCTGTATTCTGAAAACTAATGATGATGAAATAAGATGATGAAATAAATTGAAGTCACAAGTAAATGGAAAGATATCCCATGTTTATGGATCAAAAGAATTAATACAATTAAAATGCCCATACTACCCAAAGCAATCTATAGATTCAATGCAATTCCTATCAGAATTTCAATGGCATTTTTACAGAAATAGAAAAAACAATTCTAAGATTTGGGTGAAACCACAAAAGACCCTGAATAGCCAAAGCAATCTTAAGATAGAAGAACCAATCTGGAGGCACCATGCTTCCTAGTTTCAAACTTTATTTCAAAGCTATAGTAATCAAAGCGGTATGGCACTGGCATAAAAACAAACATATAGACCAATGCAACAGGATAGAGAGCCCAGAAATAATGCCAACTAATCTCCAACAAAGGTGCCAAGAATACACAATACAGAAAGAATAGTCTTTTTAATAAATGACATATAGAAGACTGTATTTTCTTGCAAAAGTATGAACTTGAACCCCTATCTTACATCTAAGTCCCAAAAAATAAACTTGAAATGAATTAAAGACTTAAATATAGGACCTGAAATGGGAAAACTACTAGAAGAAACTGTAGGCGGAAAGTCCCTTGATATTGGCCTTGGCAATGATGTTTTGGAGATGACACTAAAAGCCCAGGCAACAAAAGCAAAAATAAACAAGTGGAACTACGACAGGCATAAAAGCTTCTGCACAGGAAAGGAAATAAGGCAATAAAAATGAGGCAAGCTACAAAATGGGAGAAAATATTTGCAAGCTATTTATCTGATAATGAGTTAATATCCAAAATATATAAGAAAGTCTTACAACTTAATAGCAAAAAATAATAATAGTAGTAGCCTAATTAAAACATGGAAAAAGAACCTCAATAGATATTTTTCCAAAGAAGACATGCAAATGGCCATGTAAATTGGTACACCCGTTATGCAAAACAGTATGGAGCTTCCTCAAAAAATTAAAAACAGAACTACAATATGGTCCAGCCACCATCCCACTTCTAGGTGTATATCCAAAGAAAACAAAATCAGTATCTCAAAGAGTTATCTTTACTCCCATATTCACTGCAGCATTATTTACAATAGCTAAGACATAGATACAACCTCTGTCCATTGATGAATGAACAGATAAATGTGTTATGTATGTGTGTCCCCACATATACATATATATATTATGGCTGAATTATAGATAAAATAACATTCAGCCATAAAGAAGAAGGAAATCTTTGTGATAACATGGATGAACCTGAAGTACATTATATTAAGTGAAACAAGCCAGACAGAGAAAGACAAATACTATATAATCTCACTTATATATGGAATCTAAAAAGCCAAACTAATAGAAACAAAGTATGATACTGGTTTCCATGGGCTGAGGGATGGGGTAAATGAGGAGCTGTTGGTCAAACTTATAACTTCTGGTTATAGGATGAATAAGTTCTGGGGAATCATTATCCTGTAACCTGAAGCATGGTGACTGTAGTCAACAATAGTGTATCATATACTTGAAATTTGCTGAGAGAGTAGATCTTAAGTGCTCTTACCACATACACAAGGGTGATAACTGTGAGGTGGTGAATGTGTTAACTAACTTGATTGTGTTAATCACCTTACGAGGTATATGTCTATGAAATCATGATGAACACAATAAACAGACAAAAAAATTGAAAAGATTTGAAAGTGATGGAACTAGGGAGCACAGCAGAGATTAAGAAGGGGCAGGGCAGGAATATAAAATTCTAATTTTGAGATTTAATGCCATTTTTCTGAAATCAGATTTCAATACAATTTTTTTGTTTATTAACTGTGACTGTTTACATTGATTTAAATGTCTTAAAAAGAAGTAAGCTACAAAATAGTATAGTGTATTAACTTACACAAACTTCAGAAAATTTAATGCAATATATTATACTTTACATATGCCTTCAGATACATAGATGTGTTGATACAGATCAACATAGTATAACATATCAGGTGAGAAAATGGAATGTGATCAAATTTAATAACCTTCCAATCCTCCAGGGAAATGTTATTAGCTTTGTAAAACTAAATACTCTTCTGAATATAAACCTTCCTCTGCATATTTCTGGAGTAAAGTGGTCAGAGGTATAATGAGCTGCAAGTCTGCATTTTGGTTTTAAATCTTCTTTGCTTTATTTCCCATTTGCTTACTTTTCTTTTCTTTCTTTTTGGATTTTGGATTTTCTTTTTAAAAATCTCACTACATCACTTGGGCCATCTACATCAATATAGAATTCTGCTCTGTTTTGTTTTTAGACCATGCTATATTACTCCACTAGGGAAATCTATACTTGAAACAGTATATGAGAAAAGACATCAGGGAGAAAATGTATGAAGGTAGGAGAACAGCAAACAAGGGACAGAGTTAAGAGGTGGAAATGGAGAGAGAGAGCGAGCAGCAATCACTTTATATTGGGCTTCAGTCAGTAACCAGCAGAGTAATAGAAGACAGAATGTATGTGGGCTACAGATTTATCATGAATGCAACTGCTCAGGGAAATCCAGAGAAAAAAGTCATCTTTTTTTTCTGTCTCTTTAAAAATCTTATTTAATTAAAAAAATAAAATCTGCTGACAAGATATGTTTTCAAATCCTTTTCTTTCTGATCCCCAATAGTTTTAAGCAATCCTAGAATTGGCAAAAACACACCAAGATTTCAAAAACAGAGCTTCCTCACTCAAAAAAAAGTCCTGGTAGGGAAGTAAATTTCAGCCTTTAGTTATGGCTACTGTAGCTTTTCCAGGCTTATTTCTTCTTCAGACAAATTCCATTCCCCCAGAAGCTACTCTATCAAGAGCTTCTCAACCATGCTATTAATGTGAAAATGAAAAATTTGCTTTATAGAGGCAGCACTCATGGGAAGAAGCATGCTGGCTCAGTGAGCTTCTAAGACTTGATTACCTGGAATTCCTGAAGCTTTTGCAGTTGTTGATGTAACTCTTGCAAAATAATGAAATTTCAACCTTTTCTAAACATAGTAGTTTTGATTCTCCTTAGACAAACTCTTGCATACATTTTGAATTTCTCACTCCAATTTCCTCTGGCCTTCTTCCCAGCAATCCCTTCTTGCATTCTCCCTGTCATTTGCTTTTAATCTAGAAACCAAAACAACAATAATTATTCTATCAGATAACAGGTGATGTTTCCAAATATGGAGAAGAGGGATGTTTTTCTTTACTACTCTGAGTCAAAATAATATGTTGATTAATTCAAACTAAGAAATTATACAATTTAACTTTTATAATTATCAAATTATTATTAAAAGAAATGTATGGTTTAGGAGGATCCTTAGTTTATGGTAGCTAAAGTTTGCTAAAGTAGCTTATCTTGATTTGAGAAAAAAGAAAGATTTTGCTGAATTCTAATATTTGTAGATTTCCTATCATACCACCCTAGGCTTAGCTTTTCTTTAACATACTGGGAAAAAATTATCCCAATAGACAAAAAAATCTTAACGTCTGAAATATCTTTGCCAAGGCATAGCATTTTCTTGAACTTTTATTTTTAAGGCTTCTTAAAATTTTCAAATTTCTCCCTTTGATTTATCAGAATGTTTGATGTTTCTCTAGCCGTTATCATGAATTCCAGAAGCATGCACCCTTATATACATGAAACCAATTTTACCTTGAGCATGTAGCTAAAAGAAGTCCAGATTCTAGTTCTGTAACATTCATGATTGCTTAGGATGTGAAAGAACAATCCAAAACAGTGGGTTTTTTTTCTCTCTCTCTACTGGACCCTGTCTTGACTCCAGTTTCTTCATTCTCTTACTGCTGATTTTCAGTGTGCTACTTACAGTTAAAATATGGGCTGATTCTAGAATGAGAAATATATTAAACCCTAGTAAAATGTACCATAGGAGGTCTTTTTTTGGATTAAATATAGAAAATGAATATAGATGTAGCAGCAAAAATCATCAAACTTCATTCGATAGCCTTAAAAATACTGGGAAAAATAGTAGGTCCGTACTAATGTCTGAGCCTAAAAAGATATTACTCTTTTCTTACTGGTTTTGGTAGAATCTAGTGTCTCTAAATACGAACATGTAACAGTCATAAAATATACGATAGTCATATTAAAATCTTTAGAATGTTAAAACTTATACCTCTTATTCTACTCTTGGATGGGTAACTAAATTTAACTTATATTTTGTACATGAAATGATGCTCTAGCTTTCTACTATAGTGACAGAACAGTGTTCCACCTGTTAATTTTCCAGATAACTGAAGCTTATAGTACCATAATATAGTTAAGATATTTTCCTATAGCTGTTATAAATTTTACAATTACAAAACTCAGCTACGCAGAGGTGGAGCTTCCATTATTCTTCCATGAGTAAACTTAATTTAAGTGTTTCTCATTTGGGAAGATAAAGGAAATTTCAGTCTTGCAAATTCAAGATTAAACACAATTACTTCCAATTTACATGTCAATCTCTGAGTTCACTATGCAATCACAGTCACAGTTCAGTATTTTCTCCCTCCCTCTTGGTCTTCCCTTCTCCCTGGATGGCCCTGGCTCCAGGAAGTTGGACATAGCTTCATGACATGGAGCAAAAGCCAGGCGGGGAGAAGAAATGGAAGAGTGGAGCAAGTTGTGGTCATCTCCATCTTTTATGGCCTCTGCTGACTATGGTTGATCCCTATTCATCCACTGAGGGTGTCTGAGGTCCTGTCATGACCTCTGCTTTTCAGGTACACTTACTCTCTGTCCTCTTCATTCCAAACACATCCACTTAATCTTAGCTACTTTCCCTGCACCATGCTGAGACATGCAATACCAATACCACATGACACTTCTCTCAGGCTCTGAGGAAGTGCTGCTCTACTTCTCAGACACCATGTGGGATGTGGGGCTCCTCTGCGAGGCTTCCTGTTTGTCTACACACAGAAAACCAGCAAATCTAACTCTAATTCCATGCTTTTCAGTTTCCCTCTTACTCTTGCTGATCAGACTTTTATCTCCTTGGGAGCTCTTAGGTCATACTGGAGTTCTCCTTGCTCTGATTTATGCTGTACCTGATCTGAGTCTTCTAGGTTCTGTGGTTCTTGATAAAGCCAAACTTTTGGAAATAAAAATGACTGCTTTTTTTAATCAAATATTTCACTGTAACAATTAAAAATTGGGGCATTTTCAAGCTTATAGTCTGTGCTGAAAATTTTATAAATCAATCTTCAAATTTAAAACAAAAAATGACTTTGTTTTGTCCTGGACTGCACATTTTGTCCACCTTAGGCAATGAATTTCTATAGTTCCAGTGCAGATTTATAATGTAATTTTCCAAATAATAATAATGTAAAATAAATAAAAGCATTGGCTAAAAATCTCCAAATATTATCTCATGGAAACAACCAGTTGTGCATAACAAATTCTTTTAGCATATCGCTTTCCTGCTTCTTAAGCTAAAATCAATTAGCCTTCTATTTATGACTACAGATCAGTTTTAGTAATCTCTAAAATTATGTGTTCTATCATTATAATGTCCTAATGTAATCCCTTACTCTACCAGGCTTTAGCTTAGACAAGTGACTTAGGCTCATGTGGAAACTGGAGATAATGGCTATATCACATAAGATTGTTGTTAGGAATTAGTAAAATAAATAAGTGCCTACCACAGAAACTAAATATAGTGTTCAATAAATGTTAGCTATTGTTGTTTTAAAATTATCAACTATACAAAGGGCTTCTTCGAGGCATACTGAATGTAGGCCCCTCCTCTGAATAAAGCCATGTGGATCTGCTGTTTGAGTTCCTCTCTTTTAATCAGGATTGGTTGCTACTCCCTACATTTTTCAGAGGAGGAGGTAAGGCAGATGGAGTAGAAACTAATCAAGTAAGAAGGAAGGCCTTGGATTCAAGGCTTTTAGCATAAAAATACAGTCTCCAAAGGGCAGTTTGGATACTAGAGCCAGGAGTAGATAATGCCTTTATTTCAGTCATCATAAATTTTTGGCATTAATTGTTTTAAATATTGCATTAAAGTAGTATTTATCTTAATTACTTAAATTTAATACCCAGCGTTAAATCATCTCACCCTAACCCCCACACTGTTGGATATTATAGTGAGAACCACGAGTAGAACCAGAGTAAATAGCAAAAAGAGCCTTTCTTTACATGACATGTTAGAGCAAGAGTTGCAAACTCAAATATCTCTGTGGGCTGAGAAGTTGATATAAATGAACTAAGCAAGTTTAGAGTAAGACAGCAGTGTGTGATGGAGCCTATGATTGAAGCAAACATTTCAAATTCTAACGGCATTCAAATTCAGATTTTTAAAGATGCTGGCCAGAAAATAAAATAAGACTACGTGGCCAGGGTGCAGTGGTTTACACCTGTAATCCCAGGACTTTTGGAAGCTGAGGCGTGGATCATTTGATGCCAGGAGTTCAGGACCAGCCTGGCCAACATGGCTAAACCCTGTCTCTACTGAAAATATAAAAATTAGATGGGCATGGTGGCATTCACCTGTAATCCCAGCTATTAGAGATGCTGAGGCACGAGAATCACTTGAACATGGGAGGCAGAGGTTGCAGTGAGCCGAGATCATGCTGCTGCACTCCAGCCTGAGTGACAGAGCGAGAACTTGTCAAAAAAAAAAAGGAGGAAAGAAAGAAAGAAAAAAACAAAGGCTAAAATTTTGTGACACTGGCTTCAAAGATTGGTCTCGCATTTGCCTAAAATCAGACGGATCTGGGTTTAGATTTTTTACTGTCTGGTTTCTGCAGTTGGATTTTGCCAGTGTTGGTAAAAGTACTAAATTCTCCAAAGTGCTGGAGGAGGGAATAAAAACTTGCATTATGACCATTGCCTGTGTGTCTTCTATGTGATCTTGAGAGAAGAGAAGTTGCCAGATCTGTATTTAACATCAATGCCTTCCCTCTATCCATTTTCTATTCAGTTTCTTGTAATGCAGACTAAAGAAATCAGTTAAGCTAGCAGTAAGATTTATTTTTAAATGAAAGAAGTGGCTCTAAGTATAGGGCCCCCAAATTCTTTTATGGGTAAAACTACACATGTTTAAAATCAAGACTCTTTTTACCATCTACTTTGAGAGATAGGGTGCCGCTTAAAAAAATAAGAATAGCTTTGGAATGAGTAGTATCTAAGTTTAAACCTCAGTTCTTCTGTTAATTATGTAAGTTCAAACAGGTAACTTTAACTCATTTTTTTATATTCCTCATCTGGAAAAAGGGACTAAAATTTTCCATCTAATTGGGTTATTGGAAAAAAAATCAAATAACAATATAAAGTGGTTTAAATATGACAGTAGTCAATGTTAGCACATAGTATAATTGTTTAGATATATGTCTAACCTTCTCACCTCTTGATTATATTGCAGATTGATGAATTTGATAAATAATGACTATTGTAAAGCTAATGGGCTACTATGTACATAAAAAATATAAATGACCTCCTATATATGATTCTGCATGTGAGGAGATAGTCATAGGGAATTCTATTTTTGATATCCTCAAATGTGACTTTAAACAAATCACATAGGCAGAATAATATATGTTTTAAGTACATGATTACTTCTCAACTTTTTTACTTTGTCAAGATTATGCTTCTGTTCTTTCCTTTGAGAGTAAATAAAATCTTTGTTTCATAATGTAGTTTCACAAAGGAATCACATTTTGTAAGTTAAATATTGCAGTCAGTCCAGAAATGTGATAGGGAGCCCTTTAAATCATAGAAAGATTCATAAACAAATATTCAGTAAAAAAATGTAGAGTTCAAAGGATGTCCAATTAGAATTCAGAAAGAGATGAGTTTTTAAATGCAATTTTAAACTTGTAAAGAGAATCTATCAGGAGGTAATTGATTCCACCAAAGAGAAGTAATGATTGAAAATGTTCTGTCACTAGAGGATCCTCTGGAATATAAAAATGCATGGAAAAAGCAAGTAGGTTACACATTTGAGAGCACATTTGAAAAATAAAGCTTTGTAGTGTATTCATTAGCAAACATCAGGAATCCCTAAAACAGTATGTGATTATTCAAACACTTTTTTCTTAAGCAATATTCCCAGGAGAACAGTGGTGTGGCAAATAAATGTATAATCAATTAGAAATGTCTTCAACTACATGAGTGCACATTATTGCATGTCTTGTTATACCAAGGACATTCCAGCCCTGTGCAAGCACGGTAGCTGATTTTACAAGATACATGGCGAAATGTTACTCTGTATGAGTGAACAAGATGGAGTGCTGGGGGCAGATGGGCGACAGGGGACTAAAACTTGCTTGTACAATAGTAGATCTTCATGGTACAAGTCTAGTAAAATTTGGGAAAAGGAGAGTGACATGACTGAAGCATATTTGTCTCTGGTCTTTTTCCCTTAGATTTCCAAGGTCAAAGCAGATGATGGTATTTGAAAATATTATGATTATCAGAAGTAGTATTCACACACACACACACACACACACACACACACACACACACAGAAAGAACATTTGGTTTGAAAAGTTTAAATTGTGGGCTTATAGATTCTGAAAAACTGAAATCCCTTTAACAACGTGAGATTTCAAGGGTTATTTTGTGAGGGTGCTTTTAAATGTCTTTTTTCGTTAACTAACCTTTTAATGATCTTCCTATTTATGGTGTTTCCCTTTGCTAGACTGCAGCTTTGCCCTTGCTCTAATCAACCCTAATGTAAGCACTCTAGTTAAAATGTTTTTTAAAATTCTATAAATTAAAGTATAAAATGGCTTCTTCCTGTCTTAACCTACAGTTCTTCCCCACACCTGTCTTCTGGCCAAACCAATCCTCTTGCCTCATCTCATTTGGCCTCCAAAGTTACTGTTCCCAATTCAAAAGACTTCATTAAATGTGATTTGGAATGCTGTACCAATGTCTTCTTTAAGGGAAAATATACTAAAGAAGTAGATATAAATAGATGTATAAAATCGTATTGGAGAATCTCAGAAGTGCTGCACTCAAGAAAAGCACGGCGATTGACAAGCAATTTAAGCTGGAGTGTGAAAGGATGCAGAAATAACAAGATTTGCATGAAAAATATTGAGATCATGAGAACATCAAATTTAAACGAAAAACTCATGTGCCTCATGATTTAATCATAAGGGCTGACATTACTGTTATAACTTTCAATATCCTTGGCTTTTGAAAATAGTTCTATAATGAGGGTGGAGCATGTCTATCTATAAGAAAACTACTGTTATTTTATCCAGTCAGCTCATTACTATGAGTAACAGAGTTATAAGAATTGTAAGTCTTAATGTATATGTTGGGGAGCCCAATCATTAGCTATGGCTGAGCCCTTATTTTTAGGCAGGAACTCAAAGCAAAAGAGGAAAATGAAGCCAGGTTAAGAACCAATCCATTTTTTAATCAATTATGATCAGCCAACCCACAAAAAAGCAGAAAGAAGTTCAGGCTGATGTTAATATCTTTGCATTTATCTTGTGAAAAATTTTAATGACGGTCCCAGAGCAAGGATCGATATTCTGCCCATACATACAGGAGTCACTTAAAGGGCTCCACATTGACCTGGTATGTTTCATTCCTATGAACCAGGCAGCTGACATAGAGTAGGTCTTATTTTTCTTTCTCTTTTATTTTTCATGGCATAATAGGTGGTCTGAAAATCTAGTTTCACTTGTTATCTCAGAGGAGAAATGCACTTCCGACTTCTGTTTATACTTTCATATCATACTGTATTGCTGTGAACCTAGATGGCACTTCCAGTGGGACGCCATGTTTAGCCCATGAATGAGAAGACTGTCACAATCAAAAGTGCTTCAGGCACAAACAGATTTGAAACAATCTTCCTACCGACAGGAAGAGAAAAGGCTGGTTCTGAAGATCATTAAAGGTTCTATTGATGTGGTTTTGGGGGCACACATTTAGATTTTCAAATGTGTTTTACATTTGGAACCATTTTACTCGCATTAAAGCTCAGCTGCTTTCCCTGAGAACTCTCCTTCTTGTCATCATTTGCAGAAGCTTTCATAGAGAACTTACTGTTCCAACTGGGAAGGAGGTGGGAGAGGTGGGGAACGCAAAGCAGGCGATTGAACTAGCTCTCTTGACTCAGAGATGCCAGGATCGCCTGCTCCACAACACATTCTGCAGGATACGAAGCCACAGAGATGAAAGGGGCCACCGGCAGTGTCCCAAAAAAAAAAAAAAAAAAAAAAACTTTTCAGCATTTAGATGTACTAACTCCCTGATTTTAAAAGTAAAAAGCCTTTCTATCAATATAAATTATATTGAAAGTAGTTAGGCAGCAAAGCTGCCATGTCATTTCTGGGTGTGTGTGTGTGTGTGTTCATTTGCGTTCATTTGTTCTGGTGACATTCTGTTGACCATTTCATCATAGGGAAATCTTGTTATGCAACATTTTATTGTAGGGACATTTCTCCATACAGCATCTTATCACTGACATATTATCATCAGCATTGTCAGGGACATTTAATCATGCAATACTCCACCATTGACATTTCATCAAAACAGCAGGCCATGGTAGTAATCGCTTATTGCTGACAGTTAGTATACTAAACTCCTTAATTACGTGATTACACATGCAATTAAGTTTTCCAGGTCCTGATGTAAAACCATCCTTGTGAAAGGAGAGAAGACACCTCTTACATCTCCATGCTCAGAAACAATCCTGTGAGTTGCACTTAACAAAACTATTATATATAAAATTGCACATCCTCAAAATATCTTCTAAGCCCATTTGAAAAGAATCTTCTATAGCAAGGGTAGGAAAACTACTGTCCATAGACCAAATCTACTCTGATGGCTCTATTTGTTTTGTTTTGTTTTTAAAGTTTTATTGGAACACAGCCATGCCCATTTTATGTTATCTATAGCTGCTTTTGTGCTACAGCTACAGAGTTGAGGAGCTGAAATAGAGTCCTTCTGACACACAAAGCCTAAAATATCTATTATCTGGCCCTATACAGAAAAAATTCGTTAA
The DNA here is from genome assembly GCF_000001405.40 of Homo sapiens. Classification (NCBI taxonomy): domain Eukaryota; kingdom Metazoa; phylum Chordata; class Mammalia; order Primates; family Hominidae; genus Homo; species Homo sapiens. The sequence goes on along the minus strand of NC_000003.12, from coordinate 81,930,900 downwards.
TGCCTGCCCTAAAGGACATTTATTTAAAATGTAGATCTGTGGGCTCAACTCCATGTTACAGAAAAAGAGTATCTGAGCCTGGTGCGGTGGCTCACGCGTGTAATCCCAGCACTTTGGGAGGCCAAGGTGGGCGGATCACGAGGTCAGGAGATGGAGACCATCCTAGCCAACACGGTGAAACCCCGTCTCTACTAAAAATACAAAAAATTAGCTGGGCGTGGTGGCGGGCGCCTGTAGTCCCAGCTACTCGGAAGGCTGAGGCAGGAGAATAGCGTGAACCAGGGAGGTGGAGCTTGCAGTGAGCCGAGATCGGGCCACTGCACTCCAAGCTGGGAGTCAGAGCCAGACTCCATCTCAAAAAAAAAAAAAAAAAGGATCTGTAAATAGATCCTGGTTAGCTGCATTTCAACAAGTGTTGCACGAAATTTTTAACAGAGAACTGCAAGTTGTAACTGGGAAGGAGGCAAGAGAAGTGGAGAATGCAAAACTCAAATGTCCTACCCTGTCTTCACAAAAAAATAGTAGCAATTTGAGAAAATTTATGGCCTATCTGATTTATTCTCATGCTTAACTGTCTTCAATCTCTTTTTACAAAAGAAAGTCAGGATAGGGGACTATTCATTACCTGACCAACTAATTAGTCCTATAGCCTTGACAAAGTTATTGACTAAACAATATGCAAATGAGAGTTTAGTCTATTTTTAGCTTTGAAAAATCTTTATTAATTTTTAAATTTAAAAATTATGACTTATTCCTATAAAAATCCAAACAAAAACTGATGAAAGGAATTATGGAAAACTCTCCTTTCCTTAAATCTCCCATTTCCATTTCCTAAGGGATACTTTAAAGTGCATCCTTGCAGAATCCTTTTTCTTTTAATTTCCAAGAATTTCCTATGACTATTTCACTTTATAAGGTCTTCCTACACTTTCCATATTTACATTTTCCCCAAATGCTAGATGAATTGTGTATCAAAACTCATTAAGCAGCAATGCTGGCTCTGAGCCAGCTTTTGCTGGTCCATAGCTAGTGCCTCAGGAAGAAATGATTATGGGCTGAACTGGTAATCAAGAACATTGTGATATAAGTATTTATCCACAATTTCTGACTTTGTTGCTTCCTTTTTTATAATCTTTTATCCATCTGGAAATTACTTGCTTAAAACCTAAAGATTTTCTGCATCTGCAGGTATATTTTCCTTTTTCTCTTTCCCTTTCCATTTATCTCCATTCTTTCTCTTTTTTTGATTTGATTGTTTTTTAACTATCGATGATTCATACATTTTCCCCCAAGCATTGTCATCTCTTCCAGAAGTCTTTTTCCATGATTCTTTCAACAAATAGACAGTGCTGTGCCACCTCTTCTGCAAACATTTTTTGAAAAGGTATTTATTTCTGCCACAGGCAGTTACAGTAGTTTTAGTAGCTTCTTATTGCATAGCAAGGCACCTGCCATCATTTTTTGTCTGCTTTTCATTTTATTCACCCTCTTGAAATAAAAGATATTAACATAGCCATCCTTCCCATCTATTCAAGTCTAATAAACCATAGACTACTCGTCATAATTTATTGCTTTTAACTCTATATTTTTCTTCAGAAACTTTTCCCTTTCTTTTCTATGTTACCTTTTCCTTCCCCATTTTTTGAATAATAAGTATTTCTATCCTTTCACACTAGGTAATGAAACTTTTAAACGCAGTCATTATATTGCTCTGCTCAACCACCTTTTAAATACAAAAATATTTGCTTATGAAATAAATCTGCATTGGTGAAACCTAGTTCTTCTTTATCAACTGACAAATATTAGCTTTCTATTGTCAATTCACCTTCAGCATGCAGAAATTTTACAAAATACATGTAAAGGGAAATATGCATCAGAAACTGCTTAAATCATTCTTGCTCTGCTATCAAAAGCTTCTCTGTTCAACTTTTCTTTCTTTGTCTTCCCTCCTATAATGTGCATTAAAAATTGTCACCAGCATACTTTATTATAGCACACTATTTCTTGCTCTTTTTTCCTCCAATTCCTATAATTTATAATTCTGGAGTGTTTTTAAAATGGAAAGGACAGAAGGATAGGAAGACTAGCAGTGAAACTGTCCATAAAGGGTAAGAGGGGAAAATAAGAATAAAATAAGGAGCAAGAGGGGATAGTTTAAGAGAAATGTGTAAAACTACCAACCGAGGTCATGAGAGTATTATTAGCTCTTTTGATAAGACCTGGGACAGAAGAGAAATGTGGGTAAACTGAATGAATGGTATAATGTAAAGTTGCCAGAAAACACTATATATGATTGCTATAGTCAATCATAAGCTGAAAGCCTGACCATTGTTATGTTTATTTCCTGAATAAAATTGCATTATGATTAATAAGCACCATTAGAAATCTTCATAGCTCTCTCTAGCATATATCCTGTGGATGAAAATGCTAATGAGAAGGTTTGTGTCCTTTAATTACATGTATAAGTGAAGAACAAGGACAAGAGGGCTCTCTCTTTTGCCTGTCATTTGCCTTCTCTTATTTCCTCGATTTGAGCAGAAGTGGTCCGCTGTGCCTCAGCTGTACTTGGTACAGTTCTCAAGTATATAACTTTTCTCACTACACAGCAGCTGTTTTTGTACTTGTCTGTCAGCCTTACTAGACTGAAAGACAGATTAGGAATTGATGCTAATTTATCGTTTCATCCCCCAAGCACCTAGCTTTATTTTCTCAGGGAATGTTTGATATATGGATGAAGGAAAGCATGAATGAGAGAATGAGAATAGATAACAAAAGGATCATTCTCTTGTTTTTTTATTATGCTAAGAAATAATCACAATATAATTAATGTTTCAAGTTCCACTATCTTTGTGCTCTTTATTCCAGATTTTTATGTGACAGCAAACCAAAGAAAATGCTCAAAAGAAGCATGAGAGAATGGATCTTCTTAAGAGAATAACTGCAAGGAGTAGGACTCTGGTTCACTAAAATAATAATAACAATATAACAGCTGCTATGGTCTGAATGTTTAAGTCCCTTCGAAATCCATATGTTGAAGTCTAAACCCCCAAAGTGAAGGTATTAGTTCACAGGGCTTTGGGGCAGTAAATTATAAGAGTGGTGCCCTCGTGAATGGGATTAGGGTTCTTATGAAAGAGGCCTGAGAGAATCTCCTGGCTTCTTCTACTATGTGAGGACACAGCAATCAGGTGTTTTATACGAACCAGAAAAGTGGGCCCTCGCCAGACACCAAATCTGCCACCATTTTGATCGTGGACTTCCCAGCCTCCAGTACTATGAGAATTAAATCTCTGTTGCTTATGAACTACCCAGTAGATGATATTTTTTCATAGCAGCCCCAATGAACTGAAACAATAGCTAAAATACATTGAATGTTTAGCATATGCTAGATACCATTTTAACACCCTATGAAGTAGATCATCTTATTTATCCCATTTTGCCAAAGAGGAAACTGAAGCAACATGTGGTAAATTGCCCAGGAACAAAACTAGCCAATGAAGTTACTGAATAGCCTGCCAGCTACAAGTCAACAGCTGGCTGTTCCTGAATAGTCAGCCAGTCAATCATTATCAGATAATGTCAGAAGATTCTCATGACACTATGTCCCTTGACACTTATAACACTTTGTAATTGTACATTTAGTTTTAAAACATGAAACTAATGTGTGCCTCTATTCCTAGTCTACACTTCCTCAAAGTATGGGCATATCTGATTTTACTTACCTAACAGAGAATCTAACAAGTGATAGATACTCACTAGTTCTTGAATGAATAACAAGGCTATCTGCTACTCAGAAACCAGCATACCATCAACATGGTATAAGATAAGAGTAAATTGTCCTGGAATTCTAACCTTCTAAACACTCATTGAGCATGAAGAATCCACAGAGCATAATGGCGATGAGTTTTGAGGCTTAGAAGACATACACCACACTTCCAGTCTACATGTTATCAGCAGCATGGAAAGCCTCAAACATGAGCACCCTCGCTGGGGCACACTATTTTCCTCTCAAATCTTGTAGAAGGACATCTCAGTTTCCCCAGCATTTTTCTTTTCTTCTACCATTGAAAAGACATCATCTCTTTACTACTAGCCCATTTTCTCCTGAAGCCCCACTTAATCTCATCTCATTCTCTTCTTCAGAAGGAGACCTCCTTTAACATATTTGGAAACTGAAAATGTCTCAGCACTAGCTTCCACTTAAAATAAGAGTCTTCCCTACATAGCTGACAAGCTTCTTTGTACAGAAAAAGTAGTTATGTCCTCTTGTCCCATGACGGAAGTTTTGCCTGTCTTCTTTCACCTCCGGTGGATCCTAGGGTCATACCCTGGCTGTTTCCTAAACAAGTTGGGACATTTCTCTGCTCATCTCACTTTCCCTCATTTCTACATAGGCTATTGCGTTCTTGAAACCCCTTGTGCCAAATGTTGACTGCATTTTACTTTCTCCAGGATCACTAACATCACATAGCACTTGTCAATCAAGTCATTTAGCTCCCACTTAAAAGTGAGAACATGTGGTATTTGGTTTTCTATTTCTGCATTAGTTTGCTAAGGATAATGGCCTCCAGCTCCAACTATGTTCCCACAAAAGCTATGATCTCACTGTTTTTTATGGCTGCATAGTATTCCATGAAGCTCCCTTATTTTATAATTGTTAAAACCAACACACAGGAAATTAGTAAGAACCAGGACTGGAAACACAACCACTGTTTTCTGTTCTAGTAATCTTTCCATTCACTATCCCTGTCTCTAATAACCTAGCAGTCAACTTCTTAGGAGAAAATTCATTGGCAGCCAATATGAGCAAAAACTAGACACAAAATAAAGAATCTGGGAAAAGAGAAATGCCTAAGGATGCAGGTACCTGAACATGGACAAGGGCAAGGGAAATTAGACACATTTAACTCTATTCAATTAATCACTTTTGGACATTTCAGGACCTGCTTATCCAAAATTGTGCCTCACAACTTTGTCAACTAATGGCTACTGCTAGAAAGTATTTTTTCTTTAAATCTGACTCTGACTTCAAGCAATGTAAATCTATTTTCCTGATAATATGGAGAATAATTATTTACTATCCTCCTTAATTTATCCTTTCAAATATATTATTAAATTCTTATAAATTATGTTCTTATTATTCTTATTCCTGATGGTATTATGATAATTTGTTTATCCTTGCCTTAGAAGATACAGAGTTTTTTTGCTTTCTCTATTTCCTCCATGATTTTCCAACTTGTTTCATCAAGTGGAGAGACCAGGCTAGAAGATGTTGTAATATGATCTCATATATACTGAGAAGAGCTGGTTTACCTCCTTATTTGTCTTTGTCTTACTAAGAGTCATGCAACATGCTAGAAAATGTTTGTTCTAGTGTGTTATTCATTTATCATCAATTTTTGTCCAGTGGGTCTTTTTTTTTCCTTTGGTCATATTTATGCATTGGTCATAACACTTTGTTTTGTGTCACTTTTATTGTCCTTCATCTTTTGGTTTATCCCTTAATTTTGCCTTTATAATTTTAATTCCTACATATGTTACAGTGAAAACAAGTTTTTGACACTAAATCTGAGTCCTATGCCCACCACCACCAGCCCCACGAACCTTCACACCTTCTGGACACAGACTGGGCTAGAACGGAATTTTTTGTACTTCTGTCTTTTTTTGTTTTTTTGTTTTTTTTTTTTTCAGACGGGGTCTGTCTCTATCACCCAGACTGGAGTGCAGTACATGATCTCGGCTCACTGCAACCTCTGCCTCCTGGGTTCAAGCGATTATCCTGCCTCAGCCTCCTGAGTAGCTGGGATTACAGTAACCCACCACCATGCCCAGCTAATGTTTTGTATTTTTAGTAGAGACGGGGTTTCACCATACTGGCCAGGCTGGTCTCGAACTCCTGACTTCAGGTAATCCACCCGCCTCAGCCTCCCAAAGTGCTGGGATTACAGGCATGAGCCACTGTGCCCCGCCTGTACTTCTCTCTTTAATAGGAAAATAAAGACAGGGGAGGAGGAGTAGATGCATTGAAAAATGAAATCTTCCACATATTCATAATAAAAATCCTCAAGTGGTCAAGATAATATTAGAGTTTATGTGGAATTGCTTAATCATCTTTGGAACCAGGCTGAGAGAGCTACAGTTCATGGTTTCCTCTCTATTTCTATTCCTACCTTAGATGATCTCAAGACACATGACATAATCATGATCTTTCCTCTGATATCTCCCAAATTTCTACCTCCATCCTTTTCATCTCCCCCTATTTCCCAACTATACACTTAATTGTCTACTTATCATATCTGTTTAGGTGTCTCATAGGAATCAAAACTAATCTTAATTTTCCACTTGGCTTTGTAAATCTGTGGATTTCCTCATCTCTCTGAGTTTTTATTTTCTTATCTACAAATTGGGGAGGGACTACCTACTTCAAAGAGTTGATATTGCTATGAAATGAGGTCACAATTGTAAAACATCAAGTACTGTGTAGGCATTGGTATGTACTCAGTGACTCTCAATTTCTTTTCTTCCTTCTTATTCTCTCCCATAGCTTTCATTCACTGCCAGATCATTCTGTTTCCCTATCCCTATCTTATGGAGCTGTCTTATTTCCTGGTTCCCTCTTCCCTCATCCCTCACTGACAACCATGTCAGTGCCCCAATAATAGTAATACCACCTGTCCTCCCACTTCCTCACCCATGAAAACCCACCAGCAGCTGTGTGCAAACCAAACAAAAAAAGTAGATAGATAGCAATTGTTTTTTAAAGCATTTTTGGGTTATGTTTATCATTGCTTTTGTATTCTTTTGACTAAAAATACATTTTGCTGTATCTATACCACTGATTGTTATAACTATACTTGAAATTTCAGCACTTTCCAGTTATAGCTGAACAAAACTGCAGAATGCTAGTTTCTACTTGAATGATGAATATGTTAATTACTAAATAACATATTTTGCATATTCTAATACATTTCTTGGCTAATCTGTGACTGGGCTTTTCTACATTACTCTGGGAAATTGAGAATTGGCTATTCTTAAATAAATGTCAAAACTATATTGGAATAAAATGAAATTATTTACCCCTATGTAAGCAACATTCTTGACAAATATATGGATAATGAGGACTAATGATAAACTCCAGCACTGTAACAAAGCAGCTTAAACCCCTTTTAGGGTTTCTTCCAAAAAGAAAGAAAATCCTCACTAAAAATTGAGGGACGTTATATCAACAAAGAAACTCTTTGGACAAGTGGAAATGTTGTCTGCAGCTACGCTTGCCAAGTGAAGAAAAGATAATGCCCAAGACATTCATTTCCAAGCTTGTTGGGTAAAGAATAGATTGCAAATGTGTTTCCAAAAACATTCATTATAAAACAGTCAGGTTTACATTTTTGAATTGTTAGTTACTAAGTCATATAAAAAGTTCATATACTAAAGATTTTTCAGCTTGCTGTGAGCAACATACTGTGTGTCAGTTCACATTTGACACACTAAAATACTTTTAAAAATATTCTGAATTGGCCTTTTAAAAACAATTCAAGCATTCAACTTTATGTATTCACCTCTATTCCTACTTAAATATGAACATGTGGAAAAGAAGTTCACCAGGGGATAGATAATATGCAGCAATTTGAAGCAAAGAAACATGACATCTTGTCTGTTTGACAGAAACCCAAATAATAGACAGCACACAATAGCAAAAACTGATGCTAGAACTGTTTCAGAGGATTATGTCCTGAAAGCGTAAGTAACTCTTTGAATCAATTTCTGAGACTAGATGCAGCAACCGAAGCTTGTGCTTCACATCCAGTAGAGACTAGAGGGAAAAAAATAATAATCATTTTTATACCCTTTCATGAGCCATAATCTCCATAATGGATATATGGGAGTAGGACTTTAAGAGACAAGATGTCTTCCAGACTTGCTTTAAGCATTCTGAGCTTATACTGTCTTTAGCCCCAAGGCTAGTCTTACCAAGAGTGTGGCATCTGCAGTGCTACTTCCTGAGTAGTCAGTATGCATTATTCCCTCACTTGGCTGGATGCTTTATCTTATATATCCACGTGAGGCAACGTAACTAGATAGTGGAGGTAGGAAACTAACAGTTAGTATGCATATATTCTGATTGTACAGAAATTTAGATCCTAATGATATTTGAGCTTAAATAAATGAATAGAATTCATTCATTCATTACATAGATATTATCAAGGAACTTTTATGCTTTGGATTCCTGATCTTCAAAAATCAATGAGATTCACACTCTTCCTACAGCAAAGGTTTATCCAGTGGAGTGTTTATCTCAAAAGATGACACAGCACATTCCTTGTTAGAGGGTATAACTCTCAGGAAGTATTTGTTTATCATCTAGCAGAAATCTTCTTTCCCATTATTTTTATCGATCCTAATATTACTCTTTAGTGAAGACTATAAGAAGTTTACTTCCTCTATTTGAAACCATTTCAAGGATTTGGGAATTATAAGTTTTTTTTTTAATTTTATTTTTTTCTGTTTTCATTGTTTAACACTTAACTTTCCCAATTTGCAGTAATTATTTTCATTTTGAAATGCTATTCAAGCCCCTCACCAACCCTGATCACACCTCTGGATGCTTTCTGATTTTTCAGTATCCTTTTGGCAGGTTATCCAAATGTGAAAGCAGCATTCCAAGTATATTCTAGTGCCAAAGTAGCACCACTATCTTACATTTGGTTGCCACCATTGCATTTCTTCTATGTAAAATAGAGCATTAGCTTTTGAATAGTTTTATTATATTTGGGTTCACACTGTGTCTTTCAACACTAAAAATTCTTGCAAACAAGAATACGGCAGTATTTCCCCAACCCAGAATTTTAAAATGTTTAGCACAGAGTAGTTACGAAATAATGACGAAGAGTAGCTTAAATAAATTAGTGAGTTTTTTTCTCACATAAACAAAAGTTCAGAGATAGTAGTCCAATGCCAGTGCAGTGGTCATTAAGGACTCAGCAGAGCCTTCCACTCTGTCATGCTCAGGTTGCCGTGTTTAGATTATCTGTCTCATCCTTTTGATTATCACCTCATAGCATAACTGCTGCACCTTCAGTATCATGTCCACATCATAGGCAAGAAGGAGGGGCTAAGGGACATGCCAACCTAGTCTATCCATTTTTATCAGGAAAACAAAAACTAACCTGACAGAATTCCACCTACATCTCATTGGTCAGAATTGTGTCACACGGCCAGTCCAATCCTAGCTGGAAGGTAGTCAGGGAAGGAGTCTTGTGTGTCCACCCTAACTACATATACAATATTAAAATTCTGCCAACTACTGTGGCCTACCCAGATCCTCACCTATAAAAAGCATTAAAAGAATTTTTCTTGATATAATGGATTAAGAAAAATAGCAGCTGATATCATCTGGCTCTTCCTAGATTGTATTTTACATTTTATTCTATTTTCTAGGTACTTCTGCCCAGTCATTCTTAGAACTACTAGCTGAGCTCATAAAAAGTATTAACTACTTAGTAAAGCTAAGATTATGTGCTAGGCTTGAAAGAGCTTATAGTTCTTAGGGGGTATAAGAAGCAAGTCTTTTACTTTATATCTCATATTTATGCTTACTTGTAATTGTATTGTTGTATTTATATACAAAGTATTTCCTGAGTAGTCTTCTCAGTTGTGTGCAATAAATAACTTCCCTTTCTCTTATTTGAATAAGCTGTCTTTATTGTATTAAACTGCTCTAATAATATCTGTCTGTCCTCAAGATAGCTAATAATATTATTTGGGAGTTCCCCAGCATTTTTAAAATTTTTTTTCTGGGCTTCAGAAAGCCGTCTGTGCACATCCACAGCCCTCCTCCACATGGTTAGGAATTGTGCCAGGCTCTCTGTTATATATCCAGTTACATCTGCTCCTTCTACACATTTAGGATACCAGGAACACAGATGTTCTTGGCTTCTAGCCATTTCCAGCATTGTTTCCTCTGCAAGTAAATTTTTCATTATACATTTATCAAAGCATGTTACTTCCTGTTGGTCCTCATCCTTAGCACTAGATCAGCCATATTGTAGCAACTGCCCTTTAATTCTGGTTGTCCTCTCCTCTCTTCTAGGCTGTCATGAGTAATCAAAGACCCTCAAACTTCACCTCAAAGAAGAATACAGCTGAGCAGAGGCAACTTTAGTTCTGTAATGAAAGGCTCCAAGAGAAATTACAAAGGTAGTGTGAAACCTAAAATATGAGAAGGAAAAACAGAATAATAAGTGCTGATATTCACCTCAGAACATCAGCTAGTGTAACTGTCAATAACTTGTCAAATTATTGAATGTAATTCAATATTTTCCAAACTAAAGTCACCTGGGGATATTTTTAAAAATACAAGATTTTCCTGGGATATTATTAAATACTGTCTCCAAGCCCCACTCTGGATTTACTAATCCCAAATTTCAAAGAGGACACTGGAAATCTATATTTTCAAGTAATTTTTGTGATTAGAATTTTGAGAAACATAGTGATATTTTAATGTTCATTGGCAGTACAGAAAAGAGCAAAATAACCTCAAACTTTTATTCTCAAACATAGAGTTGAGATGGCTGTCTCATGCTGCACAGATTAAATACAGATCATGTAAACAGGGAAGAGTAGCTACTGTATATAGAGAGTTCTTTCCTTGGAATTGTCTTAAGATTCTTTTTCCTTTTTTTTCATATCATATCAAATGAAAGATTGATTGGAAGCACAATAAGAGGGGCAAAAGAATTCTTCATAAGTGTTTTCTCAGGAAGGAAAAGGAAGCCCAAGGGAAAGAATCAGAATGTCTTTACACTTGAGTGAGCAAACCCTGCTGGTCAATAAGCCTGTTCCACAGAAGACTAAACCTTCCCACCACAGGATGCCACACTGCAGGGGCAGGTACACGGAGCCATGCACAAAGGGTGGGGTTTCTATGAAAGGACTAGAGGTGGGATACATGGGGAGTCAAACCTGGAGGAGGAAAACCTGCTCCTTTAATCCGTTTCAAATTACTTTTCAGTTGACAGAGAACCAAATTCACAATATTCTGATTCTCCTCTCTTTCGCAAAATTAATAATATTATTTATTACGACCAATGTGAGAACATCAGTCAGCACCTTAAATTATTTAAATGAAACTATTCCACTTGATTTGGCACTAATGCTCAAATGGTTTTAAGAGGTAATAATAACTATTGGGGGATTTTAAATGCAGAGTTAGAAAATCTCTGCTGGTACTGTGCTTTCTATTAAACAGAGGTACAGGCGCCTGCTGTCCCCATCATAACTGTAACTCACCATGAGGCCCAGAGCCAGGAAAATCATCTCTGCCCCCCGTGGAAATCTGCAGAAAGAAAAAAATTCAAATATTTTTTATATAACTTCCGTTAATAGATGTATACAGGTATTTCAGGACTTACAGATACAGATTAGGTAGATGAAAATGATAGATAGATAGATAGATAGATGTTAGATAGATAGATAGATAGATAGATAGATAGATAGATAGATAGATAGATAGAATACATGTTAGTTGTTATTTTGACATTTGACAGCTCCTAGTAAAGGATTCCTCTTATCTGTAAACTCTCCAAATCTACTCTCAGCATCTCACAAAGAACAATAATTGTTTATTGATCTAAGTGTTAACAATGTATCAATGAGGTCTTGAAACAAGACTCAAGGACAATAACTGTTCAGGAGGATGATCTTAAGGTCCTTTTCTATTATTCATAATACTAAGCTTAAATATATATATAATATATATACTTTTTAGATCTCATATGATTTTTGTTATAAATAGCTATTTTTAACTATGGTAAAACTTAGCACAGGTAATCATAAACAAGTTACCTTATAACTTCATGACTTTTATTTTTAGCAGAATAAATACATTTACTGGAGAATTCTTAAGACAACAGATATGAAACCGCAATGAAAATGTAAACTGTTCTTATTACTTGTTGTGATGAAAAGTAAATGAAACCACCATGAAAATGCAAAGTGTCCTTGTTGCTTGTTATGATAAAAAGTAAATAGTAGCGCCTGGAGTCATTGTCCGTCTATAAAAGGTATTCAGTAAATGTTGTCTATATTTGAGTAAAGATGAGAATAAGTAGTAGTTCAATTTTCCCATGTCTATGCCACAGAATATAGCCATCAAATACATTATAGGCAAAAAACCAGATAATCATATATGCATTCTATGAAAACATTTCCTTTTTTTTTTTTTTTTTTTTTTGAGACAGAGTCTTACTCTGTTGCCCAGGCTGGAGTGCAGTGGTGTGATCTTGACTGACTGTAACCTACACATCCTGGGTTCAAGCGATTCTCACCCTCTCAGGTAGCTAGGAATACAGGCGTGCACCACCAGGGCTTGCTAATTTTTGTATTTTTAGTGGAAACAGGTTTCACCATGTTGGCCAGGCTGGTCTCAAACTCCTGAGCTCAAGTGATCTGCCCGCCTCAGCCTCCCAAGGTGCTGGTATTACAGGTGTGAGCCACCGTGTCCTGCCTTTGAAAAGGTTTTCAAAGGAAAAAAAAAATCAAATACTCCCCCCCCCCCCAGGAATGTGATTGGTTGGTTATACATGTAGCAATAAACAGAGATCTGTGTTTTGTAATCATGGCTTTCCCAACATGCTTTCTTGCACTGCTCATGCTGGAAGCAGCACACCAATCTTTCTTTGATGAGCTACCATTCCCCCATCTTATATCGTAGGACAATCAATCACAGGTATAGTCCATCACCTGTCAGCAGAGATGAGCACTTGATCCAGGCTGTCAACCCCTTATCTAATACGACTGAGCCAAGGGGTGGCCATGGAACCCTTTTTGGACCAGTTTGACTACTTCCCTCTAAGAGGCAATAGGAATCCTGGAGAAGAAGGTCTCTTGTTTTTGCACTAGAGCTGCCAGCAGCTATCTTTCCCATCATATAAACAGAGCCAATCATTAGCAGAAGAGAATAAGGGCAACACACAGAAAGCCCACAGGCAAGAAGAGGAGAACGAAAGAGGAAAGAGTGGGCAAAAAAGAACAGGAGAGAATTGGCAAGCTGCTTGAGGTCCTGAATCCAGCCATACATAGAGATGCTCTGGCTTAAGCTGGTTCGAGTTCAGCTGCTTTCACTTATAAAGGAAGAAGTTTTGACTGACACTCAACAATCTATATACATAGATCTGTAGACAAATCAATGTGGATAAATGTATTGGAAAGCATAAGTTTTAACTCTCCATTGGTGATTTCTTTGAGACTCATTTTTCTTATTTCTCTCTTCCAAAGAAGATCTCTAGGTGGGTTTTTGTCTCACAGGGCTCCATTTGATAATGTACAAATCAGATTTTAAAACATTCTGAAATACAGGACAATACACTTTCTCCGAGGGTGGTTCCTTCAGTTTTATGTATGTGCCACGAGGCCCAAACTAAAGAAATGCACACATCATCTTCTTGGAAATAAAACAAAAGAAAAAAAAAAAGGATAGCATTGAGAAAGAGACAACCGTCAGCCAAGAAAGCAACTCAGTGAAGATGTCCCTTAATTTCTTCTTCTTTTTTTTAATCACTTTTTGACAGGTCAGGGGACAGAAAGAACCAAAGTAGTCAAACAAAAATACAAATAAAAGAAGTGAGGCTATCAGGATAATTGAGTTCCTGAAGTCCTAAGGCATTTCCATGATTTTGTGAAAATTAAAGTAAAAGTCACATGAAATACCCTTCAGATCTATGTCATAATCCCATTCGGGTGCCTGACAAACCTTGAGAAGCCAGAGTGACAATTACTGATTTACCTTTCTGTGCTGAAAATGGAAGTTGAAAGTTAAGTGGCAACATAAAGCTAAGCACCTCTGAGACTGAGTTTCAAGTCTAGACTAGACAGAAATGACAGAAAATCATTAAGAAGAGAAGGCATTAAAAGGTCAGAAATAAATTGTTATCAAGCCCTGTTTGACCATTTTATCAGTCAGAATTTTTTCTTGGCTCTCAAGAATGCAGTAGCATTTTCTTATCTCTGGAGATGAGTATATTATCAGGGTTGTATGAACACACTGATATTCAGATTCTGAGAATGTTTTGTGTAAAAACCACTGTTTGAAAAAAAAAAAGAGATTCTCAAATAGTTTTTAAAAAATGTAATTGTCTTGCTCTCTCCGTCTGTCTGGAATGTTACTTAGTGTAAAGATGTTATAAAGTTTATCCTTGGAAGAGAAAACCAGTAATCTCTTCAGGTTTAGGCTTCAGTGTCATTCTTTTCTTTGTTTTTTCTGTTTTTGTTTTGTTTTGTTTTGTTTTGTTTTGTTTTTGAAATGGACTTTCACTCTTGTTGCCCAGGCAGAAGTGCAATGGCATGATCTCAGTTCACCATAACCTCTGCCTCCTAGGTTCAAGGGATTTTCCTGCCTCAGCCTCTCAAGTAGCTAGGATTATAAGCATGCGCCACCACGCCCGCCTAATTTTGTATTTTTAGTAGAGATGAGGTTTCTCCATGTTGGTCAGGCTGGTCTCGAACTCCCAACCTCAGGTCATCTGCCTGCCTCGGCCTCCCAAAGTGCTGGGATTACAAGCGTGAGCCACCGCACTCGCTGTGCAGTTCTTGATGAGATAGTTTAGCTCCAAGTCTGAGCCCCAAGAAGGCAAAGTTATTCTCTCTCTCTCTCTCTCTCACTCTCTATCTCCTTTCTCTCTCTCCCTCTATCCATTTAGCCAAGAATGGTGGTTTGCAATCCTAGTTGCAAAAGATCAAGAAAACCCATACGAATCTTTCAGAAACAAAATTGATCTTCAGCTAAATGAGCATGTTAGTAAACCAAAATTTGGATAATCTGTGTTTAAATTGTGAAAGTGGAAAATGATGGGTTAAGGGATTGAGTATAGGAGAGGAAAGAGCCTTAATCATTTTAGCAATTAGTATGTAATATCCTAAAATGATTCACTAATCACTCTGCAGCTGGTATGCTGAGAAAATACAGGGTACAAAAGCATTCCTCAAATGTCATAGTCCATTGGAATCCACACTTTGAAGAGAATGTAGAGCTGTTGACTTGCCCTCTGAAATTACATAACAGAAACCCTGATTAAACCTATGGCTTAGTTCATTTTGGATGATGTTATTATATTTTAATGAAAGCTACTCAGAGTTTGGTCATCTATAAACAGGACAGTACATTTGTCAAGTGGAAAGCTGATACTAAATCTTCAAGGACTTTCAAAGGCCGTTTAGTTCACAATCACAGAGGTCAGTGCAATATTACTTCTCCGGATCTACTAAGTCGAAATCTGTAAATGCCACTTAAATAAACAGTCCCATCTGCAAGTTTTTCATAATCACAGGTCTTAATACTCGAGCTATCATATCCACTTGCCACAAATAGAAATAAAAGAGAGTAGAAGGGAGAAAGAAATGAACCACCTGAAAATAACATTCAAGGATTACACTGGAGTTTTTGATTTATGTATCACAAAACATAATGTGCCGCTCAAAAGGTAAGAGCTTTTCTTTCAGTAGAAGCTAGTTATTTAACCCAACCACAGGTAGTTGATAATAGCAGTGACTTAAAGAGTTATATACCTCAAATTACCCCATGTTTTACCCTGCAAATGCCCACATGAGGATACTTATTTTGTTATATATTTGTATGGAAAGCTCACCACTAACTTCAATGCACTTGTAAACCTACCTGTCTGTCTGCCTTACCACAGTGTAATCAAAAAGAAAAATGTTGGTTGGGCAATAGTTATTTGGCTCTGATGTTGCCTTCCTTTAAATTTAGTAAGAAGGTCTTGGACCATTTCAGCCTGCTTCGTTATCAGAATTGGTATCCATTTACCTATGATTTGTTCTTGACAGCGATAAAATTCAGAGATATTGCTCTGGGTGTGTGGTAGGCTGACAGTTGTCAAGGCTGCTCCTACGGCCGTCAGAGGCTCCTTTTACACTACCCAACTGTGGATTGTAAAACCAATTCAAATTATCCAGAAGCCCGAAGGTTATAATGATGTTCATGTATAGAGAGCTTTTATTCAACAATTCAAAGTTCTGTGCAGGAAGTCATTATGATAAAAGCTTTCTTACCAAATTATGAAGTGTTGTATATGTGTACAGTTAAATTCGGAGAGAAAATATGTAAGTAATTAATCCATGGGAAGAAATACAGCGCTATTTTGATTATACCCTGATTTTTAACCCCTTGCAGACTACTATTGTTTTTCTTAAATTAGGATTTTTTTTAATGATTAACATGTGTGCTTACCCATACATTTTTTTGGGGGGTGGGGGTCATGCATTTCTAAGTAATTCTTGAATTAACATACTGTTATAGTTCAATTAACCTACAACTCATGCACAAGAGTTAATAGGCTCCTATAAATCTTCAACTAATTTATTCTTCCTGTCATCTGAATAAATATCATGAGTCATTTCTGGAGAAAGGCAGTGCTTTCTTTCTCCTTTCTTTTTCTATTTTGCCTGAGGTTGTGCTGCAGTGCCTGTGTGCCCCTGTCACTGGAAGGAAAGAGATATTTGGTCTCTTATAAATAAGAACACAAAGTCTTTCTCTGTATATTAGAATTTTTTTTAGCTAAATTGATTATTTTAGCCAGGCCAAGTTTAGTAAGGACCAGAATAGCACTAAGTTCATTGATCTTTAGTTCTTTAAAGAAGGAAGGAAGAGAATTCAGCAGTGAAGCAGGCAGTTCTTCATTCTATGCATAGAGATTGCAGGAATTGGAGGTGAAGAGGACGCAGCTGCATTTTCTTAACTTTTGAATGAAAAGCAATTATGCCAAGAGCCTTCATTTCAGATTGTCAGCATGGGCCTATGTCATACCCATCCTGACACTCCCAAACTGAAGATTTTAAAGGCCTCCTGCCTTTGTCATTGAGACACCTGTCACCAACTACACTGAATCAGCATCTCTAGATGCTGGGAAATACATATTCAACATGAATCTATGTAAGACACAACAGTAGGGAAGCTGGAATTCTTCAGAATCCTTAAAGAAAAAAAATGAAAGGAAAGTTTAAGCCTGAAAAATAGCTGAAGTCGTAAAGAAATTTTTCACCCTGTAAAACATACTTCTGGTTCCATTTTCATTTGTTTGTAATTGAAATCACTAAGCTCCAATGTCAAGATAACAATGTAAATTTTTGAAAATATTTTAAAAAATATATTGACTAAATATTATTGGAAGAAAGTATTGAGGAAAAATATGGGTTTATCCGTGGAAACTGTAGCCTATTTGGGCATATTATTACAGCAGGAAATATTTCTAAAGACTTTATGTTTTATTTCAAGATAGAATAATAATTGATTAGAATGAAATAATCTATTAGTCATATAGTCTATTCTTTAGGAAACAGGGTAAAATAAAAAGAAACTGATTCTTTAAAGTACTAGAAAAATTTTGGTACTCTAAATGTTAAATCTCATTTTCAAACACATTTATTATTCGTTCTTACCCTCTTCATCCTTGTCCTCCTGCTTAGGATCATATCTACGAGTCAATTGCAAAAGCAGTGCTCATTTCCCGCTTACTCGACTATATCAAGATATTCAATTTATGATTTCTGAATTCAAAAGAGAGACAACCCCCAGAACTCCAAGTGACACTTAGACGAACTCAGAGTTTTATAGTTCACCAGCTTAGATATCTTTCCAAAGAAAGGCTAATGATTTCTTTATTACCTTATTAGCTATTAGATGGCACAGTTACACAAATGTATGCAATGGTAAAAAATTAATAATTGTATATAACTGATGGAGTAACAAAATCAAAATGTATTATATAAGATGAGCCTTTACCTGAAGCACTCAATCAAATTCCTAATACATTAATACATATGATTTTATGCATTATTAAAATTAGAAATGTAGTAGTACATATAGTTTCTCTAATCATAGCCCATTTTATCTTGACAAATTATGACCAACCAAAATATTAAAAAATACATTTCTAGATTAAAAGGATACATAAGGATGCCATCCAAAGTGTGCATACTGTATTTTCAAACAAATTTTAATAACTCGACATCAAATGACAGATAAAATTACAGTATTAGATCAGGACTTCAGACTTTAGATAAATTCTAATGGAATACAGAGGAAATGGAATCTATTTATTTATACAGGCAAAACCAAGAGAGGAAAAATTAGATGTAAAAGAATTTTTGACAGCAAGTACTTGATAATCTATCTTAAGGTTAAAACTAATAATATTTTATCATGTGGAATTCAATTTTCATCCATTTTGTCCTGGATATAACAACAATCTATTTATTAACTGACTAAAACACCATATTGGCTCTCATTCATTCTACTTTTTCAACAGAATCTATTTAATTGAAGATATTAACATGATTAATGTTCAGTCACTAACCTGTGAGATCATAGACCTGATACTCTCTGATATTAAACATTCAGCTTTGCATTTCTTTCTGATCAAGGCTTTGAAACTACAGCTTTCCAGCAAGTAGTGGAGTTAGTCAAATGGAATATTGTTTTTTCACTGGCCTATCTTATCCTAGTAAATAAGAGATAGTATGCATAGAACATTTGTGCATCCTACTTCTCAGGGCCACACCAAGGCCATCCCAAATGCTAGTATGGATGTCACTTACTGACCAACTCAAGTACTTATCAGACAATATATTGACTGAGAATTAATGGTTAAAACTTCAGTTCTCCCTTAATGTTAATGAAGAATTACCATGCTAGGTGTCAATGCAAAAAACAGCATAAGGCTTTCCAAAGAATCTTATGAGGCAGGCATTATAGCTCATTATCTCAGAAAATATACACAGTAAATACACAGCACTGAGATGATTAAAATCCAGGACAATTGGAAACCCTGTTTTTCCACAACACAGATCATCATGTTTGCTCAATTTTTAATTTCATCATTTTTATATTGAAACAATAATCTGCTCTTACATCTTGGAAAATTATCATAATATAAAATTATTCTTTAAAATACTTTGAAATTTTATTTTTAATACATGACAAGCAAAATAATGACCTCTTCCCCCACCCACCATCAAAGATGTCCAAGCTCTAATCCTTGAAACCTGTGAATATGTTGCTTTACATGGCAAAAGAAACCTTGCCTCTGCAGATGTAATTTAAGTTAGGAATATTGAGAGCAGAAGATTATCCAGTCGGGCCAAAGGCAGTCATAAGGGTCCCTACAAGAAGGAGGCAGGGATGTCAGAGTAGGAGACAGATTTGAAAATACTATACTGCTGACCTTAGAGATGGAGGAATCATACCATTAGCCGAAGAGTGTAAGAAGCCTCTAAAAACTGGAAAAGGCAAGGAAACAGATTCTTTCCTAGAGCCTCCAGAAGAAATACAGCTCTACTGACACTTTGACTTTAGCCCAGTAAGATCCCTTTGGGACTTCTGACTTCCAGAACTGTAGGATAACAAATTTGTGTTGTTTTAAGTCACTACATTTTTGGCATTTTGTTTTACAGCAGCAATAGAAAATACCTGTGGTATAGGGCTACTGACAGGATCTCCTTTCCTATGGTCTTGGCAGTAATGAAGCCACCGTAAGCTTATAAGCGTCATAATTGGCATCTACACTGACACTGAGGATATGGGGAGAATCTGAGTTATTAGTTTGGCTCTCCATGCAGCATTTGCTTGACTTTGCACTCCATTTTAAACCATGGAGGCCATTTTGTGTTTTATTATAATACCATTCCCAGAACATATTACGAATTGGAATTAACTGTGTCAGTTATTTAACAAAAGCTTCCGCTCTCTGTATCCACTTAGATGCAATTAATGAGCCAAAAGAGACCAATCATATTAGTTTTAACTGCTTGGCCTTAAGCTTACAGCAACTTCCTGCTTTCTTGCTTTGGAAAGGTCATCATAATTCTATTTTAAAATCCTAAAGATTACAAAACATTTAAAACACTTCCCTGAAAATTTTGTGAGCTCCCAAAACCCAGTCAGGTCAATAAAGAATTATCATTTAACATTTGTTAAGCATCCACAGCCTGGAAAGTATCATACCAGACAAAGAAAAGCAGACAAACACACTGAAGAAATTATGAGAACTTCTTTTGAAAAAAAATAACCCTCACCTATAGGTCCTGGGAGGTGATAATTCTGATTGACCAGAAGCAATGACTGAAACTTGATTACAAGCAACAAGCCATGATAAAAAAGCCACACTAATTTTTGTTCCTGGTTAAAATGTCAAGGTCTATGATTGGACTAGAGGAGTCAAAGATCTGAACTATTCTCTGATCATTTTGAGAGAAAGGTCAGTGTATGATGATATGTACTTCAGTAATAGGCTTGCAAATTTTGTGAAAATGATTTTTTCATCCTCCGTTCTTGTGGCTAATCTCTGAATTATTTTGGATATTGATGATGAACAAGGTTTTGTGCTACATGTTATAGGAGATACAATAATTAGTAAGGCCCCCATTTCAAGGATGTCGCCACCTAGTGGAAGAGAGAAAAATACATCCGTATGCACATGCTTCCCGGACGGTGGGAAGATCACATATTTCCCTCACCATGCTTAGCAGAAATTGTCTCATTAAAGATCCTTAATACATGACTAATTATGTAATTACAGCACAAGGTAGAATGAGGTGAAGATTAAGTTAGAGGTACAAACAAAATGCTGTATATTAAATGCTTCCCAATATTTGGAGAATGACTAGCTTATATAATTGCCAGTTGCTAAATAACAAAACTACGTTTGGAGTAATATAAATTGCCTAAGGTCAAAAACCTTTTATGTTGAAATAAAAGCAATTTTTTTTAATTAAATGAGCTTTTGGCTTGACTTTAAAGGAACTCCCATATAGATGTGGTGACAGGAATTTCAACCCCTTTCCTTTGCATCAGAGGAAAATCTGAATCCCAGGAATTAAGACTCATGCCATTCCCCATTCAACAGAGAATGCAACCATTAAAAGCTACTAAGGTCTCTGGGCTGATGCCAGACCCCAAGGGCTCCAGTGTACAATGCTGTCGACTCACTGGCAGCACTTAGCTTTACTAACAGAAGGAATGTTCTTTCCTCAATTTAGATTTAAATGATGCTACCTGTAAAATAGGAAAAACAGTTTAGATACGTAGGATGAACAAGTCTACAGATCTAATATACAACTTGAGGGCTATTGTTAATAACATTATACTGTATTTGGTATTCTTGCTAAATGAATAGATTTTAGCTGCTCTTGACACAAAAACAAAAAAAATTAGGTAACTATATGAGAAAATGGACATGTTAAATTGAGTCACTATAGCAGCCATTTTACTATCTATGGTATATGTATTCCATAACATCATATTGTATACCTTAAATATACACAATTACATTTATTATTTTAAAATGTTTGTATTTCTAAGATGAGCTTTCTTAGGAGTTTGTGTAACAGTGAAAACACCAGTGGGAGGTGGGGGGTGGGGGAAGGATCATAAAATTGAAGGATTCACTTTAACTTTCCTTCAGGGAACTGGAGCCTGGAGACTGCAAATTTGCAAACATATAGGATGACTTACCCAATGCTGGGAGCACCATTGAGACTGTGGGACTCAGGAAAGATACAGACTTTTTGTTTTGTTTTGCTTTGCTTTTTTTGTTTTGTTTTGTTTTGTTTTTTTGAGACGGAGTCTCACTCTGTTGCTCAGGCTGGAGTGCAGTGGCACGATCTTGGCTCACTGCAACCTCTGCCTCCTGGCTTCAAGTGATACTCATGCCTCAGCCGACTAGCTGGGACTACAGGCACACGCCACCATGCCTGGCTAATTTTTTGTATTTTAGTAGAGATGGGGTTTCACCATATTGGCCAGGTTGGTCTCGAACTCCTGACCTCAGGTGATCTGCCTGCCTTGGCCTCCCAAAATGCTGGGATTACAGGCGTGAGCCACTGTGCCCAGCCAGACACATTTAATAGCTCCACCTGTCAGGAAGGTCAGCATCTTTCAAGAGGCAGATGGGGCCAATTTCAGACAGGGAAACTTGAAGGGGTGGATGAAGTATATAAACAACAAAACAGGTCGGGAAAGGAGGAAGTAACCATGGGAGTGCCCCTCTTATCAAGACGCATCTGTAAAGACCTCGGAGAGCCAGTTCAAAAGAGAGTTCAAACTGTCTGGAGCTTTCTTTCCCTTCTATGTTGTAATATCCTCATGCAACTTCTCCCACCGTACATACTTGCAGTTTTGTGCATTAGCCTTTCAGAGGCTGCATGACAAGGTGCAAAAATGGAGAAGCTCTGCTCCATCCATGCACTCCAAAATGCCCACGAAAGAAAAGCCACTAGGTCTATGATGACTTGCAAATCCAAATGTTAATCAACAGCACCAAAAAGCAGTCCCAAAGAGCATCTGTGGAGAAACCCATACCCCAGAGGAACATTTGTGGAGGATAAATGAAGAGACATTTAAGTTTACACTGCTAACTACCTAGTGAATTATGAGAATCCACTCCCACCCAAGAAGAGAAGGGAGGACCCATAAAACCTCTGATTTACATAAACTAAGTATCCACAGTAGGCTAGCATTTTGAAATAGTAACCCAAAGGTTTTTTTAGTGTTTTGTTTGTTTGGTTTGTCCTTCCATAGCTAAAATTAGACCTTAACGCTGAGATGTATTAACTTCAAGGAGAGATAAACTAGGAAGAGTTGTACTCTGGCCAGGCACAGTGGCTCACACCTGTAATCCCAGCGCTTTGGGAGGCCGAGGTGGGAGGATCACTTGAGGTCAGGAGTTCAAGACCAGCCTTGCCATGGTGAAACACCGTCTCTACTAAAAATATAAAAATTAGCCGGGCATGGTGGTGCATGCTTGTAATCCCAGCTACTTGGGAGTCTGAGGTGGGAGAACCATTTGAATCCATGAGGGGCAGGTTGCAGTGAGCTGAGATGGTTCCACTGCACTCCAGCCTGGACAACAGAGCATCTCAAAAAAAAAAAAAAAAAAAAAAAAAGAAAAGTATCATATTCTAGATCTTGACTGACAAATGGATTCTTAAAACCAAAATAGAGATAATAGTTTTCAAAGCCCCCAAATTTGATTGAATGAATCAGTTTTCTAACTGAAGAATTTTTTTGAGCCCTGTACGCCTCAAAAATTTAAATTTATACTATTAATGGAGAAAAGTGGATATTAATATGACTTGGCTTTCCCATTCAAAAGGACATAAGGTTCAAATAGATTGGAGGAGGAGAAATGTTGGGTTAAGAGGCTTGCCTTTATAGCTCTTGAGACATCTCACCCCTAAACAAAGCCAGTAAAGCATAGAGGTTGATTATGGTGTGCTTTCAGTGATCTCATTATTTTTATCATATTGTTAAAATATACTTTTAACTTCAGTTTACAATTTTTTATTTCTTTGGTAATAGCATATTTTGGCAGTGCTTTCTTTCTAGTTTTGATCAGTGTATTAGTCCATGTTCACTCTGCTGACAAAGACATACCCGAGACTGGGAAGAAAAATAGTTTTAATGGACTCACAGTTCCACCTGGCTGGGGAGGCCTCACAATCATGGCGGAAGGTGAAAGGTACTTTTTACATGGTGGCGGCAAGAGAGAATGAGAGGGAAGCGAAAGCAGAAACCCCTTATAAAACCATCAGATCTCATGAGACTTATTCACTACCATGAGAACAATATGGGGAAACCGCCCCCAGGATTCAATTATTTCCCACCAGGTCCCTCCTATAACATGTGGGAATTATGGGAGTACAATTCAAGATGAGATTTTGGCGGAGACACAGAGCCAAACCATATCAATCAGTTTTCTGGATAGCTTACACTGTGGTCAAACAAAAGTAACTCATTACTTGGAAATTAATTAATGGGAAGTAATTCATTAATGGGAAAACAGTTTCAATGTTGTATAATGATTCCTGTATTAACATATGAACACGAATTTCTGATGCTTATTCTTCACACAATATTGAGGCTATGGTGAAAACATTACAAGTGAATTGAAGTCATAAAGTTATCAAATTTCTTCATTTCTTTCCTGCTCTGGTTTCTTTCAAAAGCAAAATGTTTTTATCTCTCAGGTTATTGGACACACTAAAATGAACAGAGTTGTTTACCCTTTCCTCTAATTCACTCTACCTTTTAGGAGGTAATCAAGTGGAACCAATGGAAAACACAGCTGAAACTTGTTTAATAAAAAGAGATACATTGGTTTTCTTGCTTGGAAGGTATGCCTCAGAGGTGACTTAATTCTACAGCAGGATGATAGGATGATCTTACCAAGAATCCATTTTCTTTCTGTCATGGATTCATCTCCCAGAATTTCTGCTTCATTCTAAGGTTGATTTATCCAACACAAGATGACTACAATCAACTGCCAGGACTACCTGATTCTGAATCTAACTCCAATGCAACAAGATAGTCACTCTTGGAAATTATCTCAGAAGTATAGTCAATTCGTCTCCCCAAAGTTCTCAGGAAAACCTCTTCTCATGTCCCATTAACCCAAATGGAATCAAATAACCACTCTTGAATCTGTGCCTTTCTAAGGACAGGTTTCTGTTGATGGCCTTAGATTTTAGGCAACTAGACCCAACCCCAGATCCAAACATAAAGCCAATTTCCTCCAAAACACTTCTTAGAAGTTGTATGGGGAGTTACCAAGAAATAAAATAATAGATCTGGGGAAAGAACCACAATGTCCATCATATGTATTCTACTTTGGCTCACATTGTGCATATGCTTGTGTTTTAAAAGCCTTGATATCCTATTCCACTCCTCTCCATTACAGTCAGGGTAAAAGTATAAAGGCATCATTATGTCATCAAAGGACAAGGTAAGCACATAGTGTTTTTAACATGCAAGAGATTTTTAATGGTATAAATAACCTAAAGTATGACTGTTATAATAAATAATAAATGAGAGCTAACTTATTTATTAAATGATTTTAAGTCTCAAACCTGGATCTAGGGAGTTTGGGGTTTTTGCTTATAGTCTTTGTTTGCTTTACCCACTAAAGAAGAAATAAGTTATGGGAATATGTGGAAAATAAAAAGTTAAAATAAAAGTCATCCTAAAGAGCATTAAATATCCATATTTTTATATCAGGGAAAATGAGTTGTGTAGAAGTTTTTACTTATAGAAATGATTACTTGTCTACTAAAATGACCAGAAATACCAAGATATAACCTGGCTAAAGATAGCCTATAATATCTGGGCTAAGGTGTTAGCATTTAAGATAGAGATTATGTGGACAGGTTATGAATAAACTTTGGAATAAAAGTTATTGGACTCAACTGATGGATTAGACACGGGAGGAAGGAGAAAGAGAAAAATTTGGACTAACTCCTAAGATATTTTCTGGGCTGCTTGTGGACTCATTTACTTGATCTGAGGAATACAGAAGAAACTGTCCAAGAACTCTCTCTTGAACAGAAGGTTTAAGATAATCAAGAGTGGAGGTATGGAGAACACCATTGGCTATGAAACTAGAGGGATCAGGGCTAGAAATGTACAGTTGAAAATCACCTATATAGAGATCAAATATTAAGCTACAGGACTGGATCACCTAATAAAAGAGTATACAGAAGGAAAGTAGAGGGTCCAGAAATGAGCCCTGAATCACTGTATAATTTGAAGATTTGGAAAAGGAGAACTCCCCAAAGAAATTCAAACTGGACTACTACTGAAGTAAGAAGAAAAACAAGAGTATGTATGTTTCAGAGAACAAATAAAGAAATACATTAAGAAAGGAAGGCCGACTTCCCTGAGTTCTGCTGAAGTCAAGAAGAAAACATGGAGGTAACCACTGGATTTGGCCACTAGTAATCATGACACAGCAATGTGAGTGGAGAAGAGGGGAGATATCTTGGAAGGCTGAAAAGAAAATGAAGGTTAAGTTTGACAATGTGCATAAACAATTATTTTGAGAAGTTCTGAAATGAAAAGGAGCAGAGAAATAGTGCAGTAGTTGACACAAAGAGTGGAATCGCCTTTTCAGTAAGGTAAAATGTATTTTATAGTATTTACATAAGTTGAGGAGAATTGGCCAGTAGAGAGGAAATAATGAATAACATGAGAGATAAAATAGATATTCATAGAATGAAAGTTATTGAGAAGGCAATAGTCTTGGAGTGTCAGGGTCTTTGTCCTGGAAACCACACTTCTTGCCATGTGGCTACTTGAAAATAATTGGGTTACATTAAATTTATAGTAAATCATGACTCCTGAAACATCTGATTTTGTACAGTTAAATGTCTATATTTAAGTTGATGTTGAATATGTTTTTTTCCTCTTACTCGATAAATGATATGAAAAGTTGAAATCCAAGAAAAAGGGGCATCAAACATCTAATATTCTAAACTAAAGCAGAAGTAATTGAGTGACAGACACCTTGATTGTGGCCAAACCCACTGTGTTACACACACCAACCATCCCTACCGCCCTATCCTCTCCCCCAAAATAAACAGGTTTTTATGCCTACAGCCATATCTTATTCTCAAAAGTGACCTGGTTTGGACACTGAAACATATAATCACCCTAACCCAGTAGGCAAGTAGGGGGCAACCCTTTCCAGAAGGAAAGATTGGCATCTCGTTTTTTGGATGAAAGTTGGTTTATGTCACGAACCCACCAATCTTCTTCTAGGGCCTATTTTAGCAGGCAGAAAAGAGAATTACCTAGAAAAGACAGAGTAAAGAGATAAGAACAATGGAGCAGGCTGAATTTCCACAGTTTAATGTGGTGAGAATACAGCAGATTTTAATAAGTCAGCAGATAGTACAAACAGTACCCAGATTTGAGCCATCTTACTGGTCCCCTCTCAAGAATGTATGGCCACAAGGAGAAGAGAGGTTATAAGACTAGGGGTGAAGCCTTGGGGATGGAGGAGGAGGAATGTCAGGAAAGGAGGTTAGAGGAAATAGAGCCAGTGAATCTGCTGCCTCTGGGATTATGAGATGGAAAGAAGACCTTATGGCCCCCAAAGAATTACACTTGTGCTCTGGAAAAGCAGCCTTTGCTACCTGCCAGAGGACATCCATAGCTGGCCATTGTTTTGTACAGCATTATTTACAGCACCAGCAAGATTAAAAGAGTATTGGCTGTTTCTGCAATGCCTCCTCCCACATTAGCAATGGAGTGGTCTGATCCAGTAAGGAGCAAAGTAGTGAAAATGCAATGGTCCTTGGTCAGCACTGGGAGGAGAAAAGGTGATGAAATTGAAGTTTTAAATTGGACAAGACTAGACTGCACTTTTTAATAACTGAAAGTGATGGGAGAGCTATGGGATCTCCCAGGATGTCATTAAGGATCAGGAAAAGAACAATCAATGAAGCATGGTTGAAGGCAATGATTGGAGGAAAATAACACTATCTCAGGGTTTGTATACCACCAGTTGAGATTGCCCAGTAAATGTATTTGATTAACAACCTTAGCTGCTGCTCTTTCACCCCACTAACTTTAATCATTTCATTATTGCAAGCTGCATTTTGGGTTTTGGGGATTTGATGTATGTACAATTTGTTACATAACATTTTTTTAATGGTGGTTTATTTTACTCACAAGATTTAAAAGGTGCTTGGTAATGAACTCTGAACTCTAAATATATACATTCCCTTTCTAGGATATAATATCTTCAAACACCAAAAGCAGTAATATCTAACCCAGAAGGTGGAAGCGTAAAAGGCTTATACATTAGGAACCTGCATTTCCATCTTGCCCTGCAGTGCACTAAATAAATGCAGAGGTTTCAACGGTTATCCGTTTTAATTCTCAGATACAGAAGGGCAAGTCAAGAGGGTAACTAGCTTCTATAGATCTCTCCAAGAAAAACTGAAATGATGAACTTCAGGCAGCTAATCTAGCACTGGATTAAAACCCCTCAGGGAAATATTTATGTTTTACTAGTTTACTCAGAGAAACAGCTCTAGGGATCTGCAGATATCCTCTGTGATTTTGACTGAAGGAAACACTGATGCCAGAGCTGAAGCTTGTGATTTAATCATAGAAGCAATTCAGCCTTTAGCAATCCTATCTCCTAAGAAATCAATAGCTACACTTTCAGTTCTATTAAAGGACTTTTTTAACTCCTCTACCTGACCAAGATATTAATTTGTATATGTTCTATTGTCTGCCTTTCTGGTTGATACCTTGAAATGCTGAAAGACTAATTCAATGATTCGATTTGAAATACTTTCCCCATAGGATTTCCTGTGTCATCATCATCATTATTTTAATTATTTATTGATTCATATACTGCTTTTCAAATGCTGGAGTGCTTTAAAAAATTATTCACAACATCCAATAATAACATTGCACACCAGCCTCCCAAACATAGAGCCTTCCATTTTGTTGGTGGTGGCACAAAAGAGCCTTCATAAACAGGGATTTGCATTAGATTTGAAAAAACAACAACAACAAATGAACAAACAAAAATTCTATTGAAGAGGCAGAGAAATGGGGATAAATAAAATTCACAACCTCAAGAAAGATATGGCCTATCATAATGCCAAGGGCTTGTGAAATATGGAATCATCTACATTGAAGTTCTGAAAATTTCTACATTATCGCGTGCTTCACAATATATGCATTATACAGAGGCTGTGGTTTTCTATCAATTAAGAAAAACACAGTCTCTTGAACCAATTTGCTTGTATTATTGTTACTTATGTTAAGACATTTCTTTCTCCATTACATTAATGGCCAAATTAGTTTAACATTTTGTGTGAATGTGGATTTCATTAAATTATGGGGTACTCTCACAGTAGGGGTGCACTGAAATGGGTGCTAAATGGGGAGCCAGGAGTTACGAATTCTCTTCTGGAGACTAACCACCTAAGAGTCCTTGCTCACTCAAACACTCTACATTTTATTTCCTTATTTAAAAATGTAAGGTCCTGGAAATAATGACTCTTTAAACTCTAAAAAGTTCAACTCTAAAATGTTAAGATTATTGGATGCCCATAAATTTTACACATTGCTGTTACAGCTAAGTATTCTTTTTTCAATGGAAACTCTGCAAACAGCTCGATAAATACTTGATTTCTCTCTTGTTGACAATATTTATTATTACGTCTTCTAGAAAATATGTTTTATTATATTACAATCAAAGTCCAAACTGATCTATTAGAGGAAACAGAGTGGCCAATGATAATATCAGTTTGGTCTCTGGACTTAAGGGACAGAGACCAACGCTGGCTTACTTACAGGGCCTTGTAATTAGTTTATCTTTATTAAATGCTAGACTGAAAACAGAATGAAGATATTTCAAATTTTATCAGAAAGCATGTTACTGAAGCTGATTAGAGCGTATGTATTAGAGGTTTTCTAGTTATGCAGGTATCATGAGTTACAAAATAAGAACCATGTCTTCTGTTTCTATGCATGACCTACCTTGGTGGAATAGAAATGTACATCTGTCCACAAATATTTATCAAGTTCCTACTGTGTGTCAGTCGTATATATTAAGTAGTGAAAAAAATACATCCAACCCCCAAAACCAATCTTTGTCTAAACAAGGATTTTTGAGAGAGAGACAGAGAGAGAGAAAGACAGAGAGAAAGAGAGAGAAAAAAAAAGACAGAAAAGTTGCACATGCTTAAATTAGAAGCATCATTAGAACAATTTCCATCTCCTTTGTCAAATTTGTTCTCAGAATACCTAAGAGTAAAAAGGAAAATATACATTTAAAATTCAAAGTTGTGAGAACAAACATGCAAGTAGAATTAACTTGTGTCTATATGTACTGAATTCTTTGTACAATATACTTTTAAGGTTACTTGGTCATTAGTTCTATGTAAAAATTGATAATTGATATCCTAGACACTCTGACATCACTGTGCTTGCTTATTTGCTAAAGTTCAAGTAAGATCAATCTAGAAATACATTCTCATTTTCCAAATGCTTAGTGTTTCCCCATTTTTTTCCTAAATAATAGTTTATTGAAGTGCAAGTTTCCAAAATATTTGTCACAAGGCTCATTCCTCAAAATGTTAAATTTTACAGTGTCATCAATCTACAACTTAAACCTCAGTTCTTAGCTCTTTTTACTCTTAATTTAGTTCCCAATGGAAGGTAATAATAAATCATGAAGGCTGTATATAGCTGAAGAAAGAAGCATTTCCTGTGCTCAAGATATTGACTGTGCCCTTCTCATTCCTAACTCTAATATAAATTTCTTTACTTTTACATATATTTTTGAACTATGACTGCTTGTGTCTGCACTGAGCTCACTGCTGTGTATATGATGGCTGAGATATGCCCCTTGTCCTTGTCAAGATCACATTTAACATTGAGAAACAAAAGACCTAAGCAAGAAGGTAAGATCCAAACTGATTAATTAAGCTGTGCTCCAGGTAATATAGAATCATAATGATATGGTTTGGCTCTGTGTCCCCACCCAAATCTCATCTTGTAGCTCCCATAATTTGCACGTGTTGTGGGAGGGACCTGGTGGGACATAATTGAATCATGAAGGCAGGGCTTTCCAATGCTGTTCTCATGGTAGTGAGTAAGTCTCACAAGATCTGATGGTTTTTAAAACAGGAGTCTCCCTCCACAAGCTCTTTCTTGGCCTGCAGCCATCCATGTAGGATGTGACTTGCCCCTCCTTGCCTTCCACCATGATTGTGAGGCCTCCCCAGCCATGTGGAAATGTAAGTCCAATAAACCACATTTTTTTGTAAATTACCTAGTCTGGGGTATGTCTTTATTAGCAGCATGAAAACAGACTAATACACATAGTGAGGAAACTGTTTCTGAATAAAGAGTTTCCAAAACCTTCAAAAAGAAGATATTTCATTGCCCTTTAAAGAATGAGTAGAGGCTCACCAAGTAGGAAAGAAGTAGAGGTTAATATAAGCCAATTTTTAAAGATTTTAAAACGTATAGGTAATTGTGAATAATTCAGAATGGTTAGAGATCAAGCTTTAATTGAACACTAAATGTAATGATTCTCACAAGCAAATTTCTTAATAAATAGAAGACAAGTTACTCATGACTGACAAGTATATGTAGCACAGTATATCTCATCTTTTTGAGACCTAAGTCTTATACAAAGATCTTGATTATGTGGAAAACCTTTAGAACATACCTAAACTCTATAATGTTATCAGTACAACTAATCATGATCTACTGATACCGCCTGGTTTTCTTTTCATTGTTACTCCCCTTTCCATAACTCTGTCTTCTACCTAAAATATTATCTCTATGGCTACTACTGAGGAAACAAAAAAAAAAAAGATGCCCCTGTGTCAAGGTTGACAATCTGTTTTCTGTGAAAATCTTGATTATATTCCAAATTTAGAGGAAGAGTCATTTGGGCCAAGACATTTATGATTTTGGGCATAAAACATTTACAATTAGTTTTACTGACTTAATTCATTTTCGTTTTCTGTTATCCAACAACAAAAGAAACCCTTATATTAGTTCATTTTCTTCAAAAAATATTTTCTACCACCTACATAGGGGAAGTAAAAAGAAAGGAGAAAGTAACATGAGAAAGAAAATTGAAAAAAGGGTCTTATGATAGAAAAGTTTTCATTTCTATGTTTAATAGATCTCTAAAGCTTCCAAAAAATTCTCACAATTTATCTCCTCAGACAGATCAAGGAAGCGTTATGAGAAACCTACAGCAGAAAGAAAATGTCAAGGAAACATCACAGATATAAAATAGATTTTTTTCATGAGCAAATCGTTTCTAGGACATATTTTCTATAAATGTCCAGCACTTGCCTTGTGCAGGTGTTCTCGACAAATAATTCAGGCACAGAAATTCTAGAATGTTAAAAATCTGAGTTTTGATATATCTTTTCCATACAAGTCTATTGTAAATTCAAGTTAAAATGCTGATAAAGCGTATGTCCTTAATTTTAGCTTCTGTCATTTGAAAATGGAGAATTTAAATGTCAATACAAATGATTTTATAAATATGCAGTGCTTTGGAAATCACAAATTCTAAAGTTTTTGAATGCAAAGAGATGTCAGCACTCTTAAAGGTTTTAAAATACGTCATTTGCTCTTATTTCTGTTACATGGTTTTATGATAACCATTTTAAGTAGCTAGAGACTGTTACTCTAAATTGAGTTTCTCAGAAAGAGATTTTTTTAAAACCATAACAACAACAAAGTTATTACTAAAGAGAAAGGATTTATTCCCCAAGTTGCTTTGCAAAAGTCAATCATGCCTGCAGAGGAACTTGATTAATGGTGCATAATCTACAGATGTTATGGAAGCATTGTAAGTGAGAATGTTAATTATCTAACTTTTTAGCAAAAAGATAAGAGTTTAACCTTTAGAAAAAGAAAGACAGGACTAAATAACTCATGGGAATTAGTAATGGGATAGTGAGCTTTTTGTATTCACAATGGCAACTGAAATCCATCCCAGATGACAACTGACAGAAACAGATGAACGTCAGTTTTTACCAAGGCTGACACATAAAGCATCAGCAGCCTCTTCAGCTTCATCCTATGTAAGAGCCTTCATCTCTAAAGTCTTTGAGCATACTGCATGCATGCCAGAGGAAATTCATTACTATGGGTTTACTTGAAGGCAATTGAAACTCTAATAAAGACTCAAGAATTACCAAACTATTAAACCTCTGAATTTTCAGGATACTCTCTAATACAGATGTTTATGAGGAATCATAGTTTCCCATAATCTAATGCATGTTATTTGAAGACTGTTTTTAGTGTTTCTTCCTTGTTTGAGGGAGATAGACACTGATTTTTTCAATAGAAGTTCATGAAACTGTTTATACATAGCAATGCTCAAATTTTCCTTGCTGCCTGAGTTGAAGTTAATATTAAACAAGTAATTTCAGAAGTCATTTAGCTTAATTGTGTGAATGAAAGAAGGCAGGAAAGACATTTTGTTTTAGCAATACATAATATTTCTTATAATACCTAGACACATAGGTGCTAGCTCTTTTTAATTGAAATGGACAAAGGCAACAACGTAAGACCTTCAGACACAGGCCTTCTTAAAAAATTAATGCTTCCTTGGTATTCTTTAAGGAACCCTCTTCTTCCATCTTTTTGAATTTTGGTGTTCTTTAGACATTTGACCCTCAACTTTTTTCTCTCTTGCTCCACATGTTACCAAGGTAATCCGATTCTTGTGCATTGTTGACTTCCAAGTCAATACCTCCAGATGAGCTTAATCATTTGAAACTCAGAAGAGCATATTCAAACACCCATTGTATACAGCAAGTATGAATCCCAGGCCACAAAATCACAGGCCCCAAAAATAAGTTTTCTTTACTTTTCAATAATTGAACTTTATTTCCATTTTAAGAACCCATTTCACCTGATAATTAAAGCTTAATTTTAATAAGTTGAAGGAACAATCTGCCTTCTCCCCAGACTTGCTTTTAAGTTCTGGGATCATGGGAGAGTTGGAGAGCAATCTGTTTACATACTCATTCTGTCATCTGCTAAGATGTCCCTGTTCCTGGTTGGTACTCTGTTCATCAATCCATAAAAACCAGTGCTGCAACCTCTTTGCTGACTGCGCTAAGTTCAGCCCTCTTTCATCCATGTAGGAGACATCCTAAGGGATGTGGAAAATCCTTTTCTGATCCCAAACCACTAATGGCTGTGGGAAAATCTGTGAAGCCCAGTGTGGCCAGTCTACCTAGACATAGCAAAAGATGACTTGTTCCTATTCTTGCCTTTGCTTGTTGTACGAGAACATCATAATTTGCCAAGTCTCCAGACTCAAGTTAAATGAGAGTGGTCCCTTTCTTTCTTCTCTGAAACCCATAAAACTTTTCTCTAGTCTAAGGAGGGGAAGAGAGTTACAGAAAAGGAATATTTTATCTTTTTTCATGATGCATTTCTAAAAAAATCTTTATGTCAGAGCTTAAGCTTATGGAAACAAACTTAAGAATTAACTCTTTTTATCTGCTCTGTGTTGGTCATCTCTTCTCTTGGGGCAGTGAGGATGAAATATCCTTGCTGCTTGGACTAGGAGATCTACTGATTCCAGGAGAAAATATTTTAAACATCATTTACATCTCAAAATGTTACCCTACTTCATCATTCTCTTCATATACATGTCCCATAGATAATATACACTCAATAGATCTAAAACTCATCATCTTCCACCCAAACCTATCAGCTTTCTGTGTGAATATCTCAGTGAATAATGTGACTGTTCGTCTAATAAGCCCAAACAAAAATATCTAAGTAACCGAGTCCTCTGTATCCCCAGTGTGCAGGTAATAACACTGTCCTATTCATTCAAATTTTACACTAGATCTCTGATATGGTTTGGCTATGTCCCCACCCAAATCTCACCTTGAATTGTAATAATCCCCATGTGTCAAGGGCAGGGCCAGGTGGAGATAATTGAATCATGGGGCAGTTTCCTCCATACTGTTCTCATGGTAGTGAATAAGTCTCACCAGATCTGATGGTTTTATAAATGGCAGTTTCCCTGCACACTCTCTCTTGCCTGCTGCCATTTAAGACATGACTTTGCTCCTCCTTTGCCTTCTACCATGATTGTGAGGCCTCCCCAGCCATATGGAACCATGAGTCCATCAAACCTCTTTCTTTTATAAACTACCCATTCTCAGGTACCTCTTTATTAGCAGCACGAGAACAGATTAATGCAATCTCTAATCAGCTTCTTGTTTTCTTCCTCTTGCAAAACAGAGTGCTCGTTTCTCCCCTCATCCTTCCCTGCTTAGACTACTGCAATAGCTCCAAACTGATCTAACTCCTTCCAGATTTGCCCTCTCTCTATTCATCCTTGACAACACTAAACAATATTTTCTATAGCATACTATACTAAACAACTCTGTAAATATTTACTCTGTTTGAAACTCCACTCTCCTCAATCTCCTTTAGTTAATTGCTACCAGTTTCATAAGAATTAACAAGTCTCACAACTCTGAGAAGCTTTCCCTGATTTATCGTCACCCCCACAACACTTCTTCAAATACATTGTGATATAACTTTTGGTCATTTGTCTCTCTGTCAACACTATAATATTACAGCCGAGGCATGAATCATATATAAAAATGAGTATGCTTGTGTTCTAAGTACCTTATGCAGAGTATAATATATTAAATTAATTGAACAGAAGTGACACCAAACCCCCCAATTAATATGACTTGCCTGGTGGTTCTAATTCCAGACATTTTTGCTGATATCAAGATTCAGTTTTTTCTTAAAGTTCTTCCTTTATCTTGTGAATGCGGGTGTTCTTATCCCACTGATCAGCCACATGACTCACCATTTTATTCCACTGAGTGCATGTGTTTATATACAATTAATCAATATTTCAAAAGGAAAAATGTATTAATACAGTGGAAAACAAACACATTTTTAGGAAAAATCATTAACTAACCTAAATGGCTCAGTAGTAAGTGGCATTTACACAGTCGTAATAATGTAAATAACATATATTAAACATCCAAAATGACAGTAAAACTAGCAGGGATAGAAAAAGGTATGAGGAAGTAAATAGCTGGGACTTAGAAGATAATATCTGAAAGTGAAAAGTGAGAAAGGAGAATGTAAGCATATTATTTGGGAATATAGAGGGATATATACAAGGGCTATATAGACATCAAACAATCTGGAGGTTACCTAAGCAGCCTAATGCTATTTAAACAGACATTTAATAATCCTGCTTTACCCACCTTCACCTTCACCACAGGTGTCTAGTGTTAGCCAACTTCTGAGTCTTTTAGTAAGTCTCTAATTAAATCAAACAGATTGTTGGCCTTCCCAATCTGTAGGATTGAGCTTTCTTGCTTCTGCTTTGTCGGTACCAGTAGCCCTGCTGGTGTACAGGCTTGGAAACTTTGGCTGCTGGATCTCCTATTGCCTCCTCTCCTATTGTCTTTTTCCAAAAGGGTTTACATCTTTAAAAATATTATATATATAACTTTTAATTGGCATTTCACATAGCAAAGAGGCAACGGTTTATATTCAAACTGCCTTTTTTTTCCTATGATTTCTGTCATCATTCAAATGTTCTCCTGTCACTCTTATCCACAAAACATTTTCATTCAGGTAAATAAGTTGTCCAGTACAGGTAATAGCAAAACTCAGAAATTCCTGTGAATTTTCAGTTGTCCTCTCTCTCAGCTTTGGCATTTGTAACGCTGGACCTCATGGTGAGTGAAGCTTTCTATTTCCCCACCACGTGCTTCTTTTCTTCTTCCTGTCATTCGTAACTCAGGTTCTGTAGGGACTGGGAAGAGGGAGTGAGAAAGACAGGTAGAGAGCAAGAAAGGTCTTACTTTACTGGCTTACTGGTACGTCAGTGATCTGGGGTTGGTGCTCTCTAAACTTGTGCATTCAAAAGTGAATCTTTCCCTTGACATCCTTTGCACATATTTGGAAGACATCACGCTCATGTTTATCCACACACCCTGGGAACATCCAAATGTAGCTCAGCTGACACAGTGAAGACTCTCCTCTGCGTGGTTGCTTACAGCTCACTCTTCAACCTCTGGCAACCCACCCTGCTCAGACTCTCTGGATCCTACAGTCCTTCCAGCCAAATTTTCTAGCACAAAGCTATCTCTCAAGGCCATTGCAGTCTGTAGATCCTTTGACTTGACAAACATTTAGAGTACAAGTGGCTTCCAGGACAGCCTGGTCTCCTTACTGTCCCATCAGTGCAACTGCCCAGTCTCAGCCTTTACCTTTAGGATTTTCTAGAAATGGACCTGACACCATCTTATGTGCCTAAATAGGCAGTCAACCGAAGTCAAGCTCTTAAGGTGTTCCCTTAACGAGCCTCAGATTCAGCATAAGGTGAGAGAAAAGCACGTTATTCCTTCTCCCGTGGGTGGTGAGGATACTATGAGAATGCAACAAATTTCTTCAAAGAAATATTTTTCTTAGTCCCTTCAATCTCAATGCTTTATTTACTCAAGTAGGCGTTGGGCTAAAAATTATAAAACCTGTTTGGGGCATCTCCTCAGCAAGTTAGGAGTAAGTGGTCTAGAACCTCATTCTGGAATGATTTGCTCTCTCTTCTTTCTTTCTCTTCATCTTGAAGCCTCATTCAAACATGAACTACAAAAAGCCACAATTTTTTCAGCCTCTTACACTCTAACTAGCCACTTTTAACAAAACACTTAATCTCCATAAAATGAAAAGATTGACCATAATGAGCTATGGGAGTCTTATCTACAAAAAAGCAAGAGTTTCTTACATAGAAACTGTGGAAATGTTTGTATTTGCTTGCATAATACACAAATAGTATCAACACAAGACTACCTTATAACTTATTTAAATATATTTTATAGATTTGTCTACATATAAGTCTTTAATACTCCTTAATAAAACCAAGTGCAGGCTAAAATTTGGAATAAATGGAACACTGGTTTACTGCTGTTGGGATTGTAAATTGGTACAATTACTTTGAGAAAGAATTTGGCATTTTCATGTAACCCTGAACATCTATGTGGTCTACAACCGTGAAGCTCTACATTCATAGGCCTATGTCACAGAGAGACTCTTTTCACGTATGTACCAGGAGACACACACTGAAGTGTTCATGGTAGCATATCCATAAAAGTGAAAACTGGAAACAGGCAAAAGTCCATCAACAGTAGAACACATAAATAAATTGTGATATTTTATACAGTGGAATACTACATAGCAGTGAAAATGAATGAACCACTGCCTATGTCAATATGCATGAATTTCAAAAACATATTGTTGCAAAAAGAAAGCAAGTCACAGAAGAGAAACCAGTGCGTGATTCCATTTATATAAAATGCAAAACTGGCAACAGTAAATACAGTGTTTAAGGACACACACCTTGTAAAAACCAATAAAGAAAATCAAGAGAATGTGAAGATTAAAAATGGTTGCTTCTGGGGTTGAGTAAGAGGTGTAATCAAGGAGGAGCACACAAGGGCTTCTAAGATTTATTAGTTAGGATCTAAACATGAAAGAAAGAAGCAACTTTCAAGTATTTGCATCACAGACAATTTAATCAGGAATTACTGACTTAGGTGATGGAAGAGCTAAGGAACCAAATAGGAGAGTAAGGTAATGCAGCAATTAGCAAAAGCAGAAATTCACTATCATCTCTGGGTCAAAGAGAAAAAGGGAGGAGGTCATATTAACAGAGTCCAGACTAGAACCACATGGGCCTGTCTGGAGCTTTGGAGAACACACAGCCACAGTCAAGGAAGCTACTCAGGATGGGCTGGGGAAAGGAGACACCATAGTTTCTCACTTCCTCCTTGACTTCCAGTTTCCTGCCATGAATCACACTGACCTAACACAGGTACAAGTGAACTGGGGTAATGTAACCTGCAAGAGCCATCCCTCTCGTGATAGAGAACAAGGGATCTGAGTGCCAACAGGCCCAGGACAAGCACAGTAGGAAGGTAAATTCTTTTCCTTATGTGAGTGGTGAGCACATAAGTGTCTGTTTTACTATTTATTCTTTACAGTAAATATATACATTGTATATGCTCCCTTTTATGTGTGATATACATATATTTGCCCTTTTTTAGCATGGGGAAAAATGTCTGGCTTAGTGAATGATATCAGTAATTTTGGTGCACCACAGAGATACACGAGTTTTCCAGATTAAATTTTTTTATGTTAAATCTTTAAAAATTCCAATCAGTTTCCACATTAGTAAAATGGACAGAACCAATACCTACTTTGCAGAGTTATATTAAATTCTAAGCGAGATAGCATGCATAAGAGGCGTAATGTTGTGCCTGGCACAAGGTGGAACCTCAGCAAAAGTGAATGACCAAGCTCTTTTCCTAATGTAGCTGTGAAAAAGCTAGTAGAGCTATTTCTGATTTCAGAACTTGACCAGAAAAGAAAAAAAATCATAAATATTCTAAAGAAGGTAATTAGCATGCTTCTATGTGTTTTTAGTATTGTATCCATGCTTTGCTCCTGGCATATTCAAAAGCAGGAGCCAATACTAGGAATTATCGCAAAAAGATGCCACTATTACAGTATCCATTGTTGAGAGGGGTTCAAGGAGTAAATAAGCTAAGTACATGAGGAAGATTGGCCATACCTCCCACAAGAAAAGATTTAAAAGGAAGCAAGAGGGACTTAAAATCGCTACCCATAAACAATGGCAGGAATGTGTAGTTTATCGAGAGCTGAAATAATCCCACAGCAGTGCAGTGAATTTTCATTGATATATAAGTGGTTGCCTATTATTTGCAACAATGAAGAGGACTAATTTAACACAAGAATGTAGCAGAGAGGCAATGCTGGCTTAATAATAGGTTCATTCTCTGCAGGAATTCCTGAGTGAGTAAGGGAAATAAGGATTGTTGCGAGGCAGGGAAAGGAAGGCAGAACGACATGACTGCGAACCGCATGGCCTCTTTGCTTAGAAGTCTATCACACGAATGTGCCAAGGAGCTGTTTCAGTGCCCTACTGTGTGAGTCAAGAAAGTGACTCCAACTTGACAACATACAAAAGGTAAATACTGGGTAAAGCTGACAGACCTCAGGGATCTCTGTTACTGACTGTTACCTTTAGAGTGTGGTTGGCAGAAGATCAAAGTAGCCCCTGGCACACAGATCTGCAGGTGCACAACCCTAACTGGGGTGCAGAGCAGCAAGGGAAGGAAAGGTACACCCCTCACTGGAATCCAATTTGTTAAAGGAAACTGTACATTCTGTGAAACTGTTTACCCTGATTTGGAAATTAGTGGTTGCCTTAGCAACACTCAAATCCCATGAGGCTCACACACAGTGCTAATTTCAATTCATGGACACCTTCACAGGTGAAGAATGCAAACAGTAACTTGAGCCTTCCATTTGCCATGCCTCTCATAGGAAATGAGACTTTCCTCAGCCTGTAAAAATGTCCTGATAATAGCTCCCATTTTTGATACCTTCTATGGATACGATGCCAGCTACACATTTGATTTTATTTGACGGTCGCATGCAAGCCTGCAAGGCTGGCAATATGACTCCATTTTACAGACGGGAAATGAGCTACAGATAGGCTACATAACTTTCCCAAGCTTACCCAGTGGTGATTTGAAGATTTTATCTTAGATCTGGCTACTCCAAAATTCCACGCTTTTTCAGCATTTCTAGCATAGTTAAGAATAATATAAGCTTCTAAAGATGCAAAGTACCTTGAGGGTTATCCTGCATAGCACCCTCAGTTTAAGCGTGAGGAAATCAAGACACAAGAAGACCAAGAGATTTGCTTGAGATCGTGTGTTCAATACTGGCAGAGGTGAGAGAGAATTCTGGTTTCAGGATCCTATTGCAGCACTGATTTGCTGAAGGCCACCTCTGAACTATCCAAACCGTGATGTTCTCAGTGTTGGACAATGTCTCATTTATTGTGCTATAAAGGATGTGCAATGAGTGGTTGTTGAATAAATGAAGAATAAATGGCACCTTCCAATACCTTCCTCTTGCACTTCCCACAAAAATGCTGTGGTGTAGGAATAACAGGCTGGAACTGGGAGGAGGCAAGTAAGGTGGCCAGGGTGCGTGATTCCCACTCTCAGGGCCATGAGGCACCTCACTGAGGAGTCTGGCCCTGAGGAATAATTACTCTCACCTGTAACAAATAAAGAAACTCTTTTGGTATTGTGTCCAAAATAACCAGAAAAGACCAAAATCGTGATCTAATTCCAGTTTATATTTGCTTCAACTTTAGTTCCTTTACAGATCAACAGTTTTTATTTTTGGAAGAAAACATAAAGGTCTCTTACCCCAACCTTAACTCTCTTGTACTTGTAGCCTCATAAAAGCCTGATCTGAGTTTTCATACAGACATAGGTGCTTTTAAAAAGAAAATCAGTTTCTAGGGTTTATTTCAAGGTGAGAAAAAATGAAAAAAAGTCAGTGCTCTGGAAGTGTGCTTCTCAAAAATCCGATGTGCATATAAATCTCTTGAGGATTGTTCCAAATGCAAATTCTTGTCCAGTAGGTCAGGGATGAGACTCGAAACTGTATTTAGAACAAGCTCCTAAGTGATGCCAACAGTGTTGCCCTATAGACTACATATTAAGAAACAAGTTTTTTTTTAAAAAAAAAAAAAAAGGAGTGTAATATAAGAGACAATTGTGTCATTGTGCAATTCCTCTTAATTGAAGTACATTTTCCTATAAGTTGCTATTGTCCTCCATACTTCTATCTACTAGTAATAAATTTAGCAATACTTCATATTTCAGTGTTATACATCGACTTTAGCAGCATCTACCCCTTCTCATCAGAAATATCCTGACTTCCCTAACTATATGAAGCTCTAAAATATTCAAATATATATGAACAAGCCAGGCATAATGGCACTCTCCTGTAATCCCAGCTACTTGAGAGGATGAGACAGAAGAATAGCTTGAACCCAGCAGTTTGAGTCCAGCAAAATAGTGAGAGTCTGTCTCCCTCTCTCTCTCTCTGTCTCTATACACACACACACACACACACACACACATATGCATATATGTAACAACTGTTTATCAGACATTTATCAATGTAGAGAGAGCAGTAAGTTGATAACATAATTATCACTGGAACTGTGCACTACTGGAAAGAAAACCTGAAGCTTGAATCTAGAAACCAGAAACCTGGACCAGCTTAGCTTACTACAATCTAGCTGAGTAACTACAGGCGAATCATATAACGTCTCTTTGCTTCCATGTTCTCATTTATGAAATTAGGTCATTGAATTAGGGGATTCATAAGTCCTCTTCTAGCTCTGATAGTCTAAGTTTCTCCCTATGTTATGGATATTGCATAATCACACCCACTGTAATTCAAGTAAAACCAAAGTAGAAATAAAAACTGGGAGGATTTCTGTATTGTGTTGAGATAGCATAGCAAGAGTTTAACATTTTAGATCCAAAGCATTAAAGGTCACTGATTTCCACAGATCCTTCCAAAGGTTTGCATGCTCAGCTGCTCATGTCATAAAGTATGCTCAGACACTTTTTCTTTCCGTAGTACAAGGAATCATGTTTATGAGGTATTCCATCTGTGCCTGCAGCAGTCAGCCTGCGGTCGACAGGAATATGAGAGTCAAACAGCAGATTCGCTTTGCCTTTCGGTGTTCCCAGCACTAAACTATTTTCTGTGCCACTGCCCTTCTTTCATGAGCTGACCCTCCCTTCCCCAAATCACCAGAATCTCAGAGCCACCATACTGTCACTCTCGCCATATTGTCATCTAGCTATCCAAAGTCCCCTGCTTCAAAATCCCATTAAGACCTGGCCTCCTCCACAGTACCCTTATGCTCCAAAATTACCTCTCATTCTTCCTTTTCCTAACCTTATCAAAACTTTCATTTCGCTAATGCTCTCAGCCAGTTGTTGAAAAATAGCATTTCTGGTTAATTCTAAAACAAAATAATGGAGGCAGTCTTTATTTAAAATTCCTGATGCATCATATAGTAAATGTTTTGTTTTCCTGATCCACTATCCTTCTATAAAGTACTCCCTTTGTGCCTTCCCATATGTGTAGATTACCTTGACCTTTTTATAAATGCTTTAACCCAGTGCTGGTTTTAGGATTCCAGGACCTTCTTAGGTAGTCAACTGAGATATAAGAATCAGAGCCCCATTCATGGTGAAGAAATATGTCCAATGGTACAGAACTCAGGAAGCATGCCTTTGAACTGAAAGACACTGGCTATTTTTCACGAAGTCATTGAATTGGTCAAGACTTAGTGATGTATTCATTCATCAAACACTTATAGTACTCTTATCATGTGCCAAACACTGGACTAAGGTACAGAAAATTTAAAAGCAAAAATGAATAAAGAATAATATTAACCTTCAAGAAATCTATAATGTAGGCAGAGAGATAATAAATAGCTTATCACAATTCTTTGTAATAAGTGTTTTGATGAATTGAGAGGCCAATTTGGCGAAAAGATGTGCTTAGTTACAGATCTATCTGAACTTGAACATTGTCTCCACCACTTACTTTTGAATTTTAAAAATTCAAAAATTATAAGTACACTTTGCAGAGTTGTTTAGAGAAAACACAAATAAAAAAATCATCCTGATATCAGGGTAATTGGCATTGAAGACATTATATATCTGGCAACTATTATCATTTTATTTCTACAGTGATAAAGAAAGCCCAGATTGCATTACACATAGAAACATAAATGATTCAGATTTCATGAATCTAGGGAGATTTCCAAAACTTGGCAATGGCTTAAAAGAACACAAATAATTTTGTGAATGAATGAGGAGGAGAGAGTGAGGGTTGTAATGGTTATCAGGCAAAGAAGGTGATATGTACAAAGGCACAGAAAAATATGATAGTTCAAGGACAGTTGTTGGCTCTGTGTGGCTGCAGCAAAGGACCAGGAAACTGACTGGTGAGGTTGGAGAACAGACCCCAGAAGGACTTTGTATTCATGTTTCTGTTTGCCTGGGATAGGCCAGAGTTATGCCTGCTGTCCAAAGTAATTAAAAGTGCAAATTCTCACTCTTAACCTTCCAGAATAATCATGGTCACCCTACTAACATTTCAATTTGGGAAGTTTTGATCTAACCTGAAAGCTATGAAGAGTTCCCAGAAAAAGTGAGGCTGGGGAAATGACATGATTAATTTTAGTTTTAGGGAACATTCTGGCAATTATGTGAGCAATGGTGGAGGATGAGTTAGAGAGGGCAACCTGGAGGCAGGTAGAATGTGGAAGTGAAGTCAGTATAAATTGCACTTTCAGCTATATGGTCTGAATTGCAATCAGAGTTAGTATATATCATCCATTTATTTTTCACTTATTCCATGGCCAATGGGGTACTAAATGTTTATGTGTATTATCTCATTTAAACCTCATCACACAATTACAAGATGGGTGTTATTATTATTATGTCTCTTTTTATATGAGGATACTGAGACACAGAGAAGGTAAATTATT
Organism: Homo sapiens; assembly: GCF_000001405.40. Classification (NCBI taxonomy): domain Eukaryota; kingdom Metazoa; phylum Chordata; class Mammalia; order Primates; family Hominidae; genus Homo; species Homo sapiens. The sequence continues at coordinate 81,887,083 of NC_000003.12, read as the reverse complement.
TGCTAAAGATCCCAGGAGGATCCAAATTCAAGCTCATGGGCCGAATCTACTGCCAGATCTCATGTTTGTAGCCACTAATTTCCATTGCAACTACATAGGACTTAACCAATGATGACTGATGTCAGGATTCCAGCCAGTATTTCCAGTCTTATCTCAAGTCCTCTCTTTCTTTATTTTGCCCTAGAATGTTCTAGATATTATTATTCATTTTTTCTTGGAGGGCATTGGGCAGCTTACTCACCCATCGAACTAGAACTCAGGTAAGCCCCCTCGGCCTGTAGTAGACCAGAAATGTCCTGGATTCAGGCTGCATAGGGACTTAACAATCTCTTGTCTGCTGTTTCTATCCTATCAATACCACCAAAAAAAAAAAGCAAAAGTTTAAGGTTTCCATTCCTGATATAGGCGTGTCAGTGAAATAATAAGTTTAATTTTTTAAAGAGCATTTTAACAACTTTTCCACATCTAAAAATGAGATTCAATTGTCCTTCACCTCCACTCCTATGCAAGAGGAAAAATTTATTTCCATAATTTGCTCTAATCCCTACTCATACTATTTCACAATTATTCTTCCAAGGATGACTAAAAGTGGTAATATTTATCCTTTTGTGAAAAATGTGTCCTTACTATCATAAAAGAGAATGACATTGATATATTTCCCAACGTTTAGGTTGAACAGTTTTATTCATGGTTATTTGAATACATAGCAAAAAATACTGCTGTTGGCTTTGGAAACAGGATGACTGATCTGTGACATTTAGGAAATAGAATTAGAAGACTAAGAACTGGTTGCATGTGAAACATGAGTAAAAGGAAAAAGTCAAGGATGTTTCTCAAGTTTTTGTCTTGAGTGAGCAGATAGTGATTCATGCAATTAGTTAGGAAGCAGAGTTGGAGGGACTTCTTTAAGTGTTGAACAGGAGGAGGTCATGAGTTCAGTAAATAGTTGTTGGTATGAATAGATGAATGAATGAATATAACAATTAAAAATAACATTACGGACATGAAAAGATAATAGAGAAGTTCATTTAAAATGGAGCCAGTTCAACCAATTATTTCAAGGTTACCTGACAAATTTGAAGCAAAAATGATTTGGATGTCTTCCATTAGCTGGGTGATGAGGAGAATAAATGGGAAGTATAGACATATGTGCATATGAGAGCAGAAACTTACACATCCTGCTGAAAATATTTGGAAACTTATTAGTGAACATTAGGCAGGGGTGTCCAATCTTTGGCTTCCCTGAGCCACATCGGAAGAATTGTCTTCAGCCATACAGCTAGAAAATGTTAGATCTGAAATAAAATACCCTATCATTAACGACAGCTGATGAGCTTAAATAAATAAAAAAAAACAAAAAAATCTCATAATGTTTTCACAAAGTTTACAAATTCATATCGGGCCACATTCAAAGCCATCTGGGGCCGCAGGTTAGACGAGCTTGATTTAGAGTACTTGCATAATTCTGTTTCTTGTCAACTGTTCATGTAATTTTAATTTATTAAAAATATTGGCTATTCGTTTGTTTTTAATACCTTGCATAATGTTATGTTAGAAATCTGTTCTAGTCCTCCACAAGCTTGATCTCTACTCATGGCTCAATTGCTCAAGGTATGATAATGAACTATGAAAGATTATGGAAATCTTAGCTAAACTTGCCATAATTTTTTTTCTGTTTTAATTGGATTTTTCCTGTATTAGAGAAGATTAATAGATCCTTGATTTAAATTATAGAGATAACTTATAAAATTGCTTCTAAAATATCCCCAAATTTTTATTTCCAAGGACATCCTTTCTCAGCCAATGATAGCATTCTTGCTGACACACTCATATTGTCTATCTCTGTCCCAAAGGTGAGGAGGATTTCTGACAGATAGAGACACTTCAGCAACCATGCCAACTCACTGCCAACTTGGACATATGTACAGAGCAGAAAGCATGCTAAAGTTTCTTATGCACAGATCCAAGAGCCCACTGACATTCACCACTGACTGAAGAACATGTCAATATCGCTACAGCATAGTCAAGTTTGGACTGAGCCATGTGAAAGGTTCTGGAAAGGAGAAGATGACCACCTGGTTGGGGCACCACTCTGCTATGTATATGTGCCTCATTTGGCATCCACTTTGTGTGTCTACTGCTGGGCTTCCATCTGTCAAATCTCAACATAATGTCAGAGATATAAACTGGAGATTCCATGGCTACGAAAGGCATTTTTCTGCTGGCTGCCTGATGGCTGTCTGGGACGTAAAATTTCAAAAGCAATCCTTGCTGACTGACCCTTTTATATGGTATGTACATTTTAATTTCAACTCTGCAGAATGTCTGTTTAATCAATATATCACTTCAAAAAAATCTTTTTAAATGTAAAGATACAAGTAAGAGACTACACTCCATGATTTTAATATAAACTCAGATAATATACAAGTTTGAGTTAAATTTTGAAACGTTTTCCCTTTTATCTATAAACTGTATACCTAGAAAAATATAGTATTAACAGAAATGCAATTTACCTTGTAGTATATGTCTAAATTATAACTGAATCACAATGTCTAAACTTTTTCAGAATAAATAGACCTAGGACTTGGAAAATACTTTTCCAATTATGTTTAATTAAAATTTCCAAAATTTATCTACAATATTAGTATTTTAGCCCTTTACTAACTATATTTAGTTATATATCTCATTGAAATAAGTAGTTAATCAAAATACACCAATAATTTTGGTCAATTTTATTTTTTCTTCTTTTGATTCTTATAATTCAAACATACTCTTATTTTTTTCTATATAATTCTAAACATTTCATTCTTTTTTTATTATACTTTAAGTTTTAGCATACATATGCACAAAGTGCAGGTTTGTTACATATGTATACATGTGCCATGTTGGTGTGCTGCACCCATTAACTCATCATTTAACATTAGGTATATCTCCTAATGCTATCCCTCCCCACTCCCCCCACCCCAAAACAGGCCCCAGTGTGTGATGTTCCCCTTCCTGTGTCCATGTGTTCTCATTGTTCAATTCCCACCTATGAGTGAGAACATGCGGTGTTTGGTTTTTTGTCCTTGCGATAGTTTGCTGAGAATGATGGTTTCCAGCTTCATCCATGTCCCTGCAAAGGACATGAAATCATCCTTTTTATGGCTGCATAGTATTCCATGGTGTATATGTGCCACATTTTCTTAATCCAGTCTATCCAAATGTTGGACATTTGGGTTGGTTCCAAGTCTTTGCTATTGTGAATACTACCACAATAAACATACGTGTGCATGTGTCTTTATAGCAGTGTGTTTTATAATCCTTTGGGTATATACCTAGTAATGGGATCGCTGGGTCAAATGGTATTTCTACTTCTAGATCCCTGAGGAATCGCCACACTGACTTCCACAGTGGTTGAACTAGTTTACAGTACCACCAACAGTGTAAAAGTGTTCCTATTTCTCCACATTCTCTCCAGCACCTGTTGTTTCCTGACTTTTTAATGATCGCCATTCTAACTGGTGTGAGATGGTATCCCATAGTGGTTTTGATTTGCATTTCTCTGATGGCCAGTGATGATGAGCATTTTTTCATGTGTCTTTTCACTGCATAAATGTCTTCTTTTGAGAAGTGTCTGTTCATATCCTTCACCCACTTTTTGATGGGGTGGTTTGTTTTTTTCTTGTAAATTTGTTTGAGTTCATTGTAGATTCTGCATATTAGCCCTTTGTCAGATGAGTAGACTACAAAATTTTTTTCCCATTCTGTAGGTTGCCTGTTCACTCTGATGGTAGTTTCTTTTGCTGTGCAGAAGCTCTTTAGTTTAATTAGATCCCATTTGTCAATTTTGGCTTTTGTTGCCATTGCTGTTGGTGTTTTAGACATGAAGCCCTTGCCCATGTCTATGTCCTGAATGGTATTGCCTAGGTTTTCTTCTAGGGTTTTTATGGTTTTAGGTCTAACATTTAAGTCTTTAATCCACCTTGAATTAATTATTGTATAAGGTGTAAGGAAGGGATCCAGTTTCAGCTTTCTACATATGGCTAGCCAGTTTTCCCAGCACCATTTATTAAATAGGGAATCCTTTCCCCATTGCTTGTTTTTCTCAGGTTTGTCAAAGATCAGACGGTTGTAGATATGCGGCATTATTTCTGAGGGCTCTGTTCTGTTCCATTGGTCTATATCTCTGTTTTGGTACCAGTACCATGCTGTTTTGGTTACTGTCACCTTGTAGTATAGTTTGAAGTCAGGTAGCGTGATGCCTCCAGCTTTGTTCTTTTGGCTTAGGATTGACTTGGCGATGCGGGCTCTCTTTTGGTTCCATGTGAACTTTAAAGTAGTTTTTTCCAATTCTGTGAAGAAAGTCATTGGTAGCTTCATGGGGATGGCATTGAATCTATAAATCACCTTGGGCAGTATGGCCATTTTCACAATATTGATTCTTCCTACCCATGAGCATGGAATGTTCTTCCATTTGTTTGTATCCTCTTTTATTTCATTGAGCAATGGTTTGTAGTTCTCCTTGAAGAGGTCCTTCATGTCCCTTGTAAGCTGGATTCCTAGGTATTTGATTCTCTTTGAAGCAATTGTGAATGGGAGTTCACTCATGATTTGGCTCTCTGTTTGTCTGTTATTGGTTTATAAGCATGCTTGTGATTTTTGTACATTGATTTTGTATCCTGAGACTTTGCTGAAGTTGCCTATCAGCTTAAGGAGATTTGGGGCTGAGACGATGGGGTTTTCTAGATACACAATCATGTCATCTGCAAACAGGGACAATTTGACTTCCTCTTTTCCTAATTGAATACCCTTTATTTCCTTCTCCTGCCTGATTGCCCTGGCCAGAACTTCCAACACTGTGTTGAATAGGAGTGGTGAGAGAGGGCATCCCTGTCTTGTGCCTGTTTTCAAAGGGAATGCTTCCAGTTTTTGCCCAGTCAGTATGATATGGGCTGTGGGTTTGTCATAGATAGCTCTCATTATTTTGAGATATGTCCCATCAATACCTAATTTACTGAGAGTTTTTAGCATGAAGCGTTGTTGAATTTTGTCAAAGGCCTTTTCTGCATCTATTGAGATAATCATCTGGTTTTTGTCTTTGGTTCTGTTTATATGCTGGATTACGTTTATTTATTTGCATATGTTGAACCCGCCTTGCATCCCAGGGATGAAGCCCACTTGATCATGGTGGATAAGCTTTTTGATGTGCTGCTGGATTTTGTTTGCTAGTATTTTATTGAGGATTTTTGCATTGATGTTCATCAGGAATATTGGTCTAAAATTCTCTTTTTTTTGTTGTGTCTCTGCCAGGCTTTGGTGTCAGGATGATGCTGGCCTCACAAAATGAGTTAGAGAGGATTCCCTCTTTTTCTATTGATTGGAATAGTTTCCGAAGGGATGGTACCAGCTCCTCTTTGTACCTCTGGTAGAATTCGGCTGTGAATCCATCTGGTCCTGGACTTTTTTTGGTTGGTAAGCTATTAATTATTGCCTCAGTTTCAGAGCCTGTTATTGGTCTATTCAGAGATTCAACTTCTTCCTGGTTTAGTCTTGGGAGGGTGTATGTGTCAAGGAATTTATCCATTTCTTCTAGATTTTCTAGTTTATTTGCATAGAGATGTTTATAGTATTCTCTGATGGTAGTTTGTATTTCTGTGGGATTGGTGGTGATATCCCCTTTAGCATTTTTTATTGCATCTATTTGATTCTTCTCTCTTTTCTTCTTTATTAGTCTTGCTAGCGGTCTATCAATTTTGTTGGTCTTTTCAAAAACCCAGCTCCTGGATTCATTGATTTTTTGAAGGGTATTTTGTGTCTCTATTTCCTTCAGTTCTGCTCTGATTTTAGTTATTTCTTGCCTTCTGCTAGCTTTTGAATGTGTTTGCTCTTGCTTCTCTAGTTCTTTTAATTGTGATGTTAGGGCGTCAATTTTAGATCTTTCCTGCTTTCTCTTGCGGGCATTTAGTGCTATAAATTTCCCTCTACACACTGCTTTGAATGTGTTCCAGAGATCCTGTTATGTTGTGTCTTTGTTCTCGTTGGTTTCAAAGAACTTCTTTATTTCTGCCTTCATTTCATTATGTACCCAGTAGTCATTCAGGAGCAGGTTGTTCAGTTTCCATGTAGTTGAGCGGTTTTGAGTGAGATTCTTAATCCTGAGTTCTAGTTTGATTGCACTATGGTCTGAGAGACAGTTTGTTATAATTTCTGTTCTTTTACATTTGCTGAGGAGTGCTTTACTTCCAACTATGTGCTCAATTTTGGAATAGGTGTGGTGTGGTGCTGAGAAGAATGTATATTCTGTTGATTTGGGGTGGAGAGTTCTGTAGATGTCTATTAGGTCTGCTTGGTGCAGAGCTCAGTTCAATTCCTGGATATCCTTGTTAACTTTCTGTCTCGTTGATCTGTCTAATGTTGACAGTGGGGTGTTAAAGTCTCCCATTATTATTGTGTGGGAGTCGAAGTCTCTTTGTAGGTCACTAAGGACTTGCTTTATGAATCTGGGTGCTCCTGTATTGGGTGCATATATATTTAGGATAGTTAGCTCTTCTTGTTGAATTGATCCCTTTACCATTACATAATGGCCTTCTTTGTCTCTTTTGATCTTTGTTGGTTTAAAGTCTGTTTTATCAGAGACTAGGATTGCAACCTCTGCCTTTTTTTGTTTTCCATTTGCTTGGTAGATCTTCCTCCATCCCTTTATTTTCAGCCTATATGTGTCTCTGCACTTGAGATGGGTTTCCTGAATACAGCACACTGATGGGTCTTGACTCTTTATCCAATTTGCCAGTCTGTGTCTCTTAAGTGGAGAATTTAGCCCATTTACATTTAAGGTTAATATTGTTATGTGTGAATTTGATCCTGTCATTATGATGTTAGCTGGTTAGTTTGCTCGTTAGTTGATGCAGTTTCGTCCTAGCCTCAATGGTCTTTACAATTTGGCATGTTTTTGCAATGGCTGGTACTGGTTGTTCCTTTCCATGTTTAGTACTTCCTTCAGGAGCTCTTTTAGAGCAGGCCTGGTGGTGACAAAATCTCTCAGCATTTGCTTGTCTGTAAAGTATTTTATTTCTCCTTCACTTATGAAGCTTAGTTTGGCTGGACGTGAAATTCTGAGTTGAAAATTATTTTCTTTAAGAATGTTGAATATTGGCCCCTACTCTCTTCTGGCTTGCAGAGTTTCTGCCAAGAGATCAGCTGTTACTCTGATGGGCTTCCCTTTGTGGGTAACCCGACCTTTCTCTATGGCTGCCCTTAACATTTTTTCCTTCATTTCAACTTTGGTGAATATGATAATTACGTGTCTTGGAGTTGCTTTTCTCAGGGAGTGTCTTTACGGCATTCTCTGTATTTCCTGAATTTGAATATTGGCCTGCCTTGCTAGATTGGAGAAGTTCTCCTGGATAATATCCTGCAGAGTGTTTTCCAACTTGGTTCCATTCTCCCTGTCACTTTCAGGTACACCAATCAGATGTAGATTTGGTCTTTTCACATAGTCCCATATTTCTTGGAGGCTTTGTTCATTTCTTTTTATTCTTTTTTCTCTAAACTTCTCTTCTCACTTCATTTCATTCATTTGATCTTCCATCACTGATACCCTTTCTTCCAGTTGATCGAATTGGCTACTGAGGCTTGTGCATTTGTCACGTGGTTCTCGTGCCTTGGTTTTCAGCTCCTTCAGGTCCTTTAAGGACTTCTCTGCATTGGTTATTCTAGTTAGCCATTCATCTAATTTTTTTTCAAGGTTTTTAACTTCTTTGCCATGGGTTCGAACTTCCTCCTTTAGCTTGGAGTAGTTTGATCATCTGAAGCCTTCTTCTCTCAACTTGTCAAAGTCATTCTCCATCCAGCTTTGTTCCGTTGCTGGTGAGGAACTGCACTCCTTTGGAGGAGGAGAGGTGCTCTGATTTTTAGAGTTTCCAGTTTTTCTGCTCTGTTTTTTCCCCATCTTTGTGGTTTTATCTACCTTTGGTCTTTGATGATGGTGATGTACAGATGGGGTTTTGGTGTGGATGTCCTTTCTGCTTGTTAGTTTTCCTTCTAACAGTCAGGACCCTCAGTTGCATATCTGTTGGAGTTTGCTGGAGGTTCACTCCACACCCTGTTTGCCTGGGTATCAGCAGCGGAGGCTGCAGAACAGCGGATATTGGTGAACAGCAAATGTTGCTTCCTGATCGTTCCTCTGGAAGTTTTGTCTCAGAGGAGTACCCGGCCATGTAAGGTGTCAGTCTGCCACTACTAGGGGGTGCCTCCCAGTTAGGCTACTCGGGGGTCAGGGACCCACTTGAGAAGGCAGTCTGTCTGTTCTCAGATCTCCAGCTGCATGCTGGGAGAACCACTACTCTCTTCAAAACTGTCAGACAGGGACATTTAAGTCTGCAGAGGTTACTGCTGTCTTTTTGTTTGTCTGTGCCCTGCCCCCAGAGGTGGAGTCTACAGAGGCAGGCAGGCCTTCTTGAGCTGCGGTGGGCTCCACCCAGTTTGAGCTTCCCAGCTGCTTTGTTTACCTACTCAAGCCTCGGCAATGGTGGGCGCCCCTCCCCCAACCTCACTGCCACCTTGCAGTTTGATCTTGGACTGCTGTGCTAGCAGTGAGCGAGGATCCGTGGGCGTATGACCCTCCAAGCCAGGCGCAGGATATAATCTCCTGGTGTGCCATTTGCTAAGGCCATTGGAAAAGCACAGTATTAGGGTGGGAGTGACCAGATTTTTCCAGGTGCCATCTGTCATCCCTTTCTTTGACTAGGAAAGCGAATTCCCTGACCCCTTGCACTTCCCGGGTGAGGCAATACCTCGTCCTGCTTCGGCTTACGCTCAGTGCGCTGCACCCACTGTCCTGCACCCACTGTCTGACACTCCCCAGTGAGATGAACCCAGTACCTCAGTTGGAAATGCAGAAATCACCCATCTTCTGCATCGCTCACGCTGGGAGCTGTAGACTGGAGCTGTTCCTATTCAGCTATCTTGGCTCCACCCTCCCAACATTTCATTCTTATTTCAGGTGTAGACCAGAGGTGTTTAAATATATCTTTTCTATGTATATAAAAGATGGTAATACGTTTAATCATAGCTTGGGAAATATTGAAAAACTAAAGAGCCTTTTGAAGAATGGCAATGGACATCCCAGAGTATCTTGGCTTGGTCTGTAGTGGTTAATCTTCCTCAGGTAAATAGAACTCTATAGCCCTGTCCTTAGAACTTGATTTTGATGGAGTTGCAGGCTTTGTTATGCTATGATGATTTTCTAATTGAACAGCTGATCTGCTTTGTGTGTGTGTGTGTGTGTGTCTGTGTGTGTTCCTGCTCATGTGCACATGTGAATGCTGATGGTGCTTTTTTGTTACAAAACAAACAAACAAAAACACCATTTTTTATCAGCCCACCCTAGAGTGACTCCTAATGAGTTACATCCTTGTGTAGTTAATCTCCCTTTGAGTGTGCATAAAACCTGTGAATTGGCTGGGCACGGTGGCTCACGCCTGTAATCCCAGCACTTTGGCAGGCTGAGGCAGGTGGATCACGAGGTCAGGAGATTTGAGACCATCCTGGCTAATATGGTGAAACCTCGTCTCTACTAAAAAAATACAAAAAATTAGCTAAGTATGGTGGTGGGCGCCTGTAGTCCTAGCTACAGGAGGCTGAGGCAGGAGAATGGCCTGAACCTGGGAGGCAGAGTTTGCAGTGAGCCGAGATCATGCCACTGCACTCCAGCCTGGGAGGCTGAGGCAGGAGAATGGCCTGAACCTGGGAGGCAGAGTTTGCAGTGAGCCGAGATCATGCCACTGCACTCCAGCCTGGGCGACAGAGCGAGTTTCAGTCTAAAAAAAAAAAAATCCTGTGAATTTATTTCAGCAATAAAATATGGCAAAGGTGATGAGATGCTACTAACATTACCTTACATTACATAAGGCTCCACTGCTCCACTGGACACCTACACTTAGTAGAATGGAGTAAGAGAACCCTGAAAAAGTGAACAGTCAGTGTTGTGAACTGACTGTGAAGCGGGTGCCAAGTAAGGAACAGCAAATAGCCTTTAGGAGCAGAGACTAGTCCCCAGGCAACAATTAGGGGAAAAAACAGGAAGCTGTCATGCAACCACAAGGAAAAGAATTCTGTCAACAACCTGAATGGGCATGGAAGTAGATTCTTCCCTATTCCAAGCCTTCAAACAAGAATGTAGCCTGGCTAATACTTTGATCACAGCCTTGTGAGAAACTGAACAGAGAATCCAGCTAACCTGTGCCTGGACTCTTGACCTACAGAAACTGTCAGATAATAAATGTGTGTTCTTTTAAGCTACTTAATCATGGTAACTTATTTCATAGCAATAACTCTGTGAAGATGAATACAAGTTTATACACAGTTCCCCAGAATTCATATTCTAATTAATTATCTGGTGTTAGTTCATTGGGGTACTGTAACACAGTACCACAAACTGCTGGTTTAAACTACAGAATTTTATTGTCTCACACTTCTGGAGGATAGAAGTTCAAGATAAGGTTTCAGCACGGTTGATTCTTTCTCAGAGCTGTGAGAGAGAATCCATTCTATGCCTCTCTCCTGGCTTCTGGTGGTTTGCTGGCGACCACCGGCATTCCTTGGCCTTTGGATGCATCACCCTAATCTCTGCCTTCGTGGTCACATGGTATTCTCTCTTTGTGCATGTCTGTGTCTAAATTTCCCCTTTTTAAAAGAACGCTAGTCTTTGGCTGGGCGCAGTGGCTCATGTCTGTAATCCCAGCATTTTGGGAGGCCGAGGCAGGTGGATCACAAGGTCAGGAAATCAAGACCACCCTGGCTAACACGGTGAAACCCCGTCTCCACTAAAAATACAAAAAATTACTCAGGCGTGGTGGCGGGCACCTGTAGTCCCAGCTACTAGGGAGGCGGAGGCAGGCGAATGGTGTGAATCTGGGAGGCGGAGGTTGCAGTGAGCTGAGATTGCGCCACTGCACTCTAGCCTGGGCGAGAGAGAAAGGCTCTGTCTAAAAAAAAAAAAAAAAAAAAAAAAGAACACTAGTCTTATCGGATTAGCGGCCCACTGTATTCCAATATGACCTTATGTTAACTAATTACATCTGCAACAACCATACTTCTAAGTAAGTTCACATTCTGAGATGCTGAGAGTTAGGACTTCATCATATGAATTTGAAGAGGACAAAATTCAACCTGTAATAGGTGTTTAACTCTTCCTGTAAAAGGAAATCCTAAGAAAGAAAGAAAACACTGCCATTTTAACTTAAGGAATTATCTCTTTGAAATAATAAGCTCTCCTTTCACCCATTGTTTTGTCTGTCATAGCAAGAAGAGAGTGGAGACCAAAAGCATTCGTATATCCATTAATTTTTTAATGCATTTCTTTGAACACTTGGCTTTTACAGAGACAGGAGCCATGAAAATACATCATTACTTTAAAAAGTTGTAGTATCAGCTTCACTTATTAAAATGCAGAAGCACTTATCTAGCCTTCCATAATTTGGTGCCCCAAAGTATTCAGTCTTGGGAGACTATTGCAAATGACTTTGTGAACTACCAATATTTCCTTGGTATTAATTTATTTTACATCATATTTTTCAAACAGAAAATATGAAATGCATTTGATAGCTCTCAAGTTTAAATAATAGTATTCACTTTCAAATGATGAAGCTTTTAAATAGTTAAGAGCATCTTGTGGCCATAGAAATAGCTATTAACAAGTAAGCATCTTCTACCTGTCAGTATTCCAGTAAGCAGTTCACATAGATGATTTCATTTTCTCTTTACAGCAACCATATGAAGTGTTTGCTATATGAACCATATAAATGGACATGTAACATCTCCATTTTATAAAAGAAGAAAGTGAGGAAAAGAGAATAACCGAGGTGTCCAAAGTCATACAGCTAGAAAATGTTAGACCTGAAATTTTAGTCAAGTTCACCTTCATTTCAAAGAGATACACTGTCTTGCTGCCTCAGAGTAATGCAAGACTTATATATTTTATAAAATCTGGATTCAAAAATTCTCAGAGGCCAGGAATACCAACCATCACTTCATTATATAGATAAAGTCATTATTAACAAATACATCCATCAGTCCATTTAGCAATTCCTTTAGATAGCACCACTGATGCAAGGAAAATCAAGTAGGGGCTGACAGAAAGGCAGTGCTGATCTTGGCTGTCTTCCCATGTCTTCCCTCAGCTGGCATTCCAGGCTCTCAAATTACCACCCTGAGGTAGAGTCTATGAGGTGAATGACTATTAGGTACATTGATTCTATTGGACACAAATAAAAGGTTTTAAGGGGTTAACATGACATTAAAATGAAAAGTGGAAGCCTATAATTGCATGTATAGATCTCTGGCTCATAATACCTCAAGGGCTACTACTCTGATATTCTGTTCATCAGTTTCATACTATTAGCTCCCTTTCCCTGATTGTTGTCTGTGAATCATGAATTATTGCTTGATCTCATATTTGAACAGTTTTTGTTGTGTCTGGGTTGCTCACCTTAAAACATACGAGTTATAAGAGCGATTCAACTCCTACTTCCAAGCCATAGAAATACTTGCACACATTCCCAGAAGTTAGTTACTTGAGAAAGATTTCCAAAATTCTGTATCTATAGCCCAGTAATCAAATTATCAGATCTGTTTCCTTCATCATCACAGCATGATCTGATGAATAGCAATTGTTCCCTCTCTCTTGTCCAGCTTAGGCTGTGATTAATTTGACTGGTTTCAAAACCTGTTGTGTTTTTCCTCTGTGCCCTGCCTGAATATTGGCACAATATTATTGCAGTAGGTTGCATTACTTCCATTTTATCTTACATTTTCAGGCCACTTAATCCCAACATGTAAATTTCTGTAATATTAAATGCAAGTGAACATTTTAAGCCAAGAGCCCTAGCATTTTTTTAGTAAGACTGTGTCACTGCTCCTAAATTACCATGAGGCATGTTAACACAAAGATATTACAAATAACAACATAAAATGACAGGAAATTTAAATGATACCTGGGAATACAAAATTCATGCACTTAGGTCTACCATATGTTATATCACTCTTATCGTAATATCAATCCTCATCTCCAATCAGTAAAGCTAAAAATGAGGTGACTTTCTGTGATTACATTTACAGATTAAAACGTTACATGAATTAAAAGGAAACCTGATAATTTAAAAATATGTATTTAGTAACTATTATATGCAGCTATTCCTGGAAGAGCAGGTGGGGAAATAAAGATAATAGTCATAAACCTTACTGTTAAAGAATATATAATCTATCTAGAAGAAAATGACTAATTTTTCTCTAATTGCTTTGCCCCATATTTTTCAGTATGTCTGGATGCCTTGTTCAGTTCTTAAGATTACTACTTATTCTATGTATCTTTTTGCCAATAAAATTATTGATATTTTTCATAATTTTTAGCCAGTGAAAATAATCTAGGTCAGGTTTGCACTAGGCTTAACATATAACTGCTGTGTTCTCAGAGCTTTAAAATTCAGCTGCTGAACGTAAATCTTTAGAAAAAAGACACTCCTTTAAGAATAGAATGCTTAAAATTTTAACCCCAGTAGTGAAAAGAAAAGCTCATAGCTCAGTATTTTCTCCAGCAAATGAAAGAAAATAATTATTTCATTCCTATTCCATTAGCTGTTTATGATTTTAATTCAACAGCACTTTGGAAAAAATATTCTTCTGAAGGCTGGTTACTGGATACACTTCTAGGTTTAACACTTCAAGATAAGTCTTGGTGATGGAGGATATAGATTTGGAGGTATAGCTATCTTGTCACCTTGTTCTGCCTGCCCTCCCACTGTAAATTTTTTATTCCACATTTTAGCATTTAGTGTGTGTGTGTGTGTGTGTGTGTGTGTGTGTGCATGTGTGTGTGTAGTATAACTAAAATTCTATAAAATATGTATTATATAAATTATGTGGTTTTGTCTTTACAGTAAGTACTATTTTTATGCCCTTTGTTCTACTTCTTGAACTGAATTTTTTTATAACTTTTTATATTTTTGCAAATTTTTAAACATGTGATGATTATTTTCTATTTGTTTTCTCTGTAATTTAACATTTATATGTAATTGGTAACATAGAACAATCATAATGATGGAGAATTTATGATTTTTAAGACTAATGTTACCTAATGATCTACTTTAAAAAACACATTTTTCAAATAGATGCATTTACATGTAATGAGATGAACACATTCCAGTTTTCATAACTTTTGACATCTTACTCATACGTCAATTTTATACTTTCTGGAAGTAAGATGTTTCTGTTTTGAATGTTTACTTTTTGTGACCTTTTATACACAGCTCTGAAATTGTCATCTGTGTCTATTGCAACCAGCTGTAGTAAACAGAAACCATACAGTAACATTAAATGCAGATGCTAAAATTTTATAAAATGAGTGAATGATAATTGATGATGAAACAGTGAACATGACTAACTTAGTGCAGAAACCAAAATACAAAGAATAATGGTGTAATTCTTCTGTCACTCAAAACTGCACAATATATTGACTTAGATCATTCCATTATTAGCCATATAAGCATTACAGTGTTTTTCCTACAGAATACACAATGTGATGTAATCATCTCTTATATTTTTCAGAAACAATAGCCATAGAGTCCGCATATTATGTTTTCTGTTGGCAAAGAGCTTTTCTTTTTTTATCTTGAAAGATAAAATGTTTTCTATCTTCCTCAGATGTTTTTAAACTGCAAAAAATAAAAAAAAAGATGAAGAATACAGTGGCATATATCAAAATAATTTACTTCTAGCACTAAATATTGACAAAGAGATTCTCCTTTACTTTTTGCAGCGCCATTTAAATTCAGTGATTACATTTCTGATGTTACAAATAAAATTAACCATTTGGAAACATTATTCATATCTCAACAACAAGGTAATTATTTAATATTTTCTGCCAGGAATATTGAGGTGTATATTTTTTATTTAGAAAAGGTAAAGAAGTTAAAGTTTCAGGCTGCTTTTTTAGAATTGATGCTAGCATGCTTATGAGAATCATAACTACAAGCTCTCTATTTTAAATTATTTACTTTTTTTTACTAAGAGCATGGACCTTTTTAAGAAAAAGTCTGAAAAAATATTTCTGAAGCCCACCAAAAAGTAATGTGTGACTTCCCCCTGCTGGCTTAGTAGAATAATAAAAACAAGAAAACCCGTTGTGATAATTTTTTATATTCTAAAACACTAACGTCTTATTAATTTAGAGAACTAGGACACATATCTTTCGGAAGTTGCAAAGCATCTACCAGTAGCTGCAATATCCATTTATGTACTAAATATACAGACCCATCAACATTCATGTATATTTCCACCTGTCCACATTCACACCCAATTAGATCCAAAACCACATCAACCTTTTAACCTAAAACAATATTTAAAAAGGAAACAGACACACACACATACACAAACACACACACACACATGTAAAAATCCCTCTCTTGCCTAGTGCCAATTCAAATTTATTTGCTATCCTCTCCCTGGAACTCTAAAAACTTCTCTAGTTGTCACCAATGTGGGCTGGTTTCCAGGTCCCATTCTCTGCCTACTGCCTGTTGGATCTTGTAGCTGATACTGTACCTGGAGCTTCATGTGCAACCTGGCAATCATTGCTACTACAAAACTAGTTCACTATTAAATTATATATTTTAAATCACTTAATTATTGTTGCATCTTATTAAAATTAAAAATAACTCAATCTGATGAACCAAAAATAATAGATGCATATTTTGTATTACTTTGAATAAAATTTGCATGTTAATCAACTAGTTTCTAAATGCCAAGAAATAACTTTTCTGTTGCCTCCTCTCCCCCTGCCTTGCAGTGGGTGCCAAATAAAGATGACCCAAATTAAAAATGTGAGAATTTGAGTTACACATAAGAATTAACAACCCTGAATACGACACAGTTCCTGGGGTCTAATTCTTTCTGAAATTGCTGCAAATAAATTTATCCTTTTTAGAACTGCTGAAGTTGTATCCATATAGCAAACTAGTTCATATATTTGCTGACTGAATCACAGAGACCACTATCAGTATGTAAAATTCTCTAAGGAGTTATCAGGTCTGGATGTCAAGACAATTCAAATAATCAGACCAAGTACTTTTCATTCTGTGAATGTCATCCTGTTAAGTAAAATGACTAAGCAATGAACTAGTTAGCAACTTAGTGACTAACCTGCCCCTGGTTAAGATTGTATATCAATCCAGTCCTAAAGGCAAAATGCATTAGATGGTTACTGTTGCAGGCTGCGTTGTGTCCCCTAAAAGATATCTTGAAATCCTAAACTCTGATACCTGTAAATGTAACCTTATTTGGAAATAGGGCCTTTGGAGACATAGTTAAGATAAGGTCATAGGGTGGACCTAATCCAACATAATTGGTGTCCTTATGAGAAGAGAAGAGACAGACAAAGACACAAGGGAGAATATTATGTGAAGATAAGAGTCAGAGATTGATTAGAGTGATGTGATGACTGCAAACCAAGGGATACCAAGGATTGCCAGTAATTGCAAGGATGCTAGGAGAAAAGCATGGAACAGATCCTCCCTGAAAGCCTCCAGTGGGAACGAACTCTAACACCTTGTTTTCAGACACCTAGCCTCCAGAGCTGGAGAAAATAAGTTTCTGTTGTTTTAAGCTTCCCAGTTTGTGGTATTTTGTTATGGCAGCCATAGGAAACTAATACAGCTAATGGACGTAATATTTATTGGAAACCTACTATGAATGAAGGCACTAAATGGGTCTTCAAGCCCACAGCACCAAGGCCAAGCCATAATACCTTGGCCTTTTCCTTCAGGACACCTGAGCAAGTGAATGACAGAGAAGTGAACCAACCATTATAATTGGTCATGAAACTATCTTCAAGAGATATTATACAAGCATGTATAAAAAGTCTTAACGTAGCAATATTCCTAGAGAATATGACATCTCAGATAAGATGTAAAGAATAAATAAGAGTAAACCAAGAAATATTAGGGGCATGCTAGGGATGGAGGTGTGCAGAAATGATGAAATCATTCCAAATAGAGGCAACAGCATGAAAATGAGCCATACGAAGAGTGTGTTAAATTTCCGGAACCTCAATTCCACTCACTCCTTGCAAAAATCATGTATATATTATTTGTAGTAGAACTTATTAGGAAGAAGCAAGATTTGTGTTTCTTTACATGATCTGAGTTAATAAGATAGTCTCCCAATAACAAGATGTAATCTCCCTATAGAAGAATTTCTCAGAATAACATATGCATCAAACGACTGATCCTTTTTACTTCAAGGCATTTCTGAAAATTGAAACTCTTAAGTCCACAGTTTCTTAAACAAATATTCCAACACCACCTCTTTGCTATTCCCAAAGTCTTTTGAAAGTGGTTTTAAATTATTTCCACCTTTAAAATTTCCCAAACATCCAAGGCACTTGGACTATATTATGAACAAATTGTCTAAAAATACTCAGGCTTGCATAATCAGTAAAGAAAGCACTTCCCTCTATAGTACGAAGTTCAATAGAGCATCTGAAATCAGTGTAGCTAATAGCAGAGTTCAGATGAAAAACTATTCTGAATCTCAGAGGTTACATAAGCAGAGTATTAAAGACATTCTAGTTACTATGGTAACCTCATTTTTTATGGATTAGTAGAGTAAATAGTCTTACAAATCTTCAATAATCTGTTGACAAGTTAAGGTTAACCAGGGTAAAATTAAACTATAAAGCTTTCTTTTTAACAAATATAAAACAGAAAATTAGTGACCAGTATTTTTTTCAGAAGAAAGACACAAGTACTTACACAAAGGTTTAATTGCCTCATTTAGAGTACTGATCTAGAATTCACGGTATTATAAATTTTGCAGTAATGTATTACTGAAAACTGCTTAAATGCATAAACTGAGATTCTCTCCCTTTTTGACCATCCAAATGTATATCTGCTTATGTTATTTTTTCATTTCAATAAAAGAAATTTTAATGAAATCAATGCCAGAACCACAATTCAAAATTTGCTATACTATAGTATATCTTTTGATTCACTGATTGTTATTTTTTCACATAAGTGACATGATCATATTCTAAACTCCATGAATAAAAATTTTACCTCCTGATAGAATACGTGTTAAAGTCATATTTAAACATAAACCAGTTAGTTAGATCAATTATTTTTATCCTAAATTCATGAGAAATATTAAACCAAAAACTGAACTTTTAGATCAATGGGAAAATTATTCTTGGCATTTTCTCTCCAACACCATGGCATATTTCTGAGAACTCTCTTCATGTGTATGTGCCAGTGTATTATGCAATATCCCCTGCACTCACATTTTTCAGCAAATGTTCTCAAATCAATACTTCCATCTTGCTCAATGATTTTTCTTTCTATCTACCTATCTCCAAGTTTAAATTCTCATTGTTTTTCAAAACTTTTCAAGCACCTCCAGAATTTTATCTAATCTACCTGAAGCATCTTCTGAAGCAAAGGAATCAAGCTTGAGTTCAATTCTTTTGTACAACATCTCACATTCCTCAAATTTATGACAATTTCAGTGGTAATAGTAAATCCAATTACAAACACCCTAAAAGACTATAAGGCCATTTTCTGGCATTACTATTTTACAATTTACACACACACACACACACATCCAGATAGATAGACAGACAGACTAATAGATGATTGATTGAGAGAGATAGATGATAGATAGATGATAGATAGATAGATAGATAGATAGATAGATAGATAGATATAACATGCAGTCATTCTAAGTAATTTAAAACAGATAATAATATTTGGTAACCTTGTAAGGATATCTTAAAGAGGCACACATGTGCACACACATACATACACATACAAAGTCCTTTGCCACTAAACCACAAAAGAAAAATTCTAGAATAAACAGGTGAATCTGATTTAAAATCTCAGGAATCCTTTCATTCTCTCAACACATGCCTTCCTCCTGTTGGCCACGTACAAATGCTTTTAGACTCTGGATCTCTAAGGGAGAATAGGAGGGAGTGAGGCCTGGCTCAAAAAGGAAGTTTACATAAGCCCGAAGTTCAAATCTAACCCATTTGCCATCAGTACTTTGCATGACCAAATCTATTATCTAAACATCCAAAGAGTATTTAAACAGATGACCCTAAAAGCAAGTCAGCAATATCTTTATCTAACAAAATGAAAAAGTAGGAAATGTTAGTATAACTATTAGTTATATAACTACTATATGTCCAACAATGTGCATGAGTTAGTTCCAATTCTGTTGAGGAAATCAACTCTTTAAATATTCCATAGGCTGGACATTTTTGTCCATTTTTCAATATTAGCTGTTGATGTCTTCTAAAGCATAATCTACTCATACAATTCTCAGATTACCTGCTTCACATTCCCATAACTGTCTTCCCCAGATCTTTAAAAATAGGCTTATTTATAGGCTCAGTTTCTGACTCATTACTCTTTCCAAAATACCCCTTAGTATTAGTTACTATTTGTTGAACAATTGGTATGGGCCAAGTGATTTACATTAACTAACTCATTATTTTTCAGAGCAGTAAATAACATTACCTTTGTTCACATCTAGGTAAATTTAGGCTTAGAGGCGTTGAGTTACTTGATTTAGTGTGCATGGCTATCAAGTGTTGAAAGTCCATTTAAAACCTAGATCTTTTTCAACCCAAAGTCAAGGCCCTTAATCTCTATGTTAAGGGTTCTCAAACTTGGCTGTGCATTAGATGGCTTGTTAAAATGTGGGTTGTTAAACCGTAAGCCTCGAGTCTCTAATTCAGGGTTTTGCAATTGTGACAAGTCCTCAGAGAAGACTGATGCTGTTGATCTTGGACCTGTGAAAGGAAAATCAATCTTGGGACCCCAAAATTACTAAGCTAAAGGGAAAAGTCAAGCTGGGAACTGCTTAGGGCAAATCTGCCTCCCATTTTCTTCTTTAAAAAGCTAGCGGCCAAGCACGGTGGCTCACATCTGTAATCCCAGAACTTTGGGAGGCCGAGGTGGGTGGATCATGAGATCAGGAATTCGAGACCCGCCTGACCAACATAGGGAAGCCCTGTCTCTACTAAAAATACAAAAAAACTAGCTAGGCATGGTGGCAGGTGCCTGTAATTGTAGCTACTCAGGAGGCTGAGGCAGGAGAATCGCTTGAACTTGGGAGGCGGAGGTTGCAGTGAGCCGAGATTGCGCCATTGCACTCTAGCCTGGGCAACAAGAGTGAAACTCCATCTCAAAAAAAAAAAAAAAAAAAAAGGATAGCTACTAAATAAAAAAGATACACACCTCCCTCACAAGGAATTTCCTAGTGGACAAAGGACAGACAGAATTCAAAATCATCCCTCTGCTCACTGAGATAAATGCATATCTGACTGCTGCCTTTGGAAAGGCTAATCGGAAACTCAAAAGAATGCAACCATTTGTCTCTTACCTACCTATGACCTGGAAGCCCCCTGGATGGAACCAATGTACATTTTACATATATTAATGGATGTCTCCTATCTCCCTAAAATCATGTATAAAACCATGTGCCCCTACTGCCTTGGGCACATCTTATCAGGACCTCCTGAGGCTGTGTCACAGGTGCACATACTTAACTCTGGCAAAATAAACTTCCTAAACTGACTGAGACCTGTCTCAGATAGTTGGGGTTCGCAGACCACACTTTTAAAACATTACATTATGATATACTTCAACCCCCACCCACACCTTCAACATGATATAGCAGTGGTTCGCAATCCCAACTATACCTTTGAATCACCCATAGATTATCAAAATAAGAAAAATACCCATGCCTGGGCTCCACACCAGACAAATTACATCAGGGGATCTGAGGTGATTTGATGCCTGGATATTAGTTGTTTTTAAAGTTTCCCAGGTGATTCTAAGGTACAGCCAGGTTTGAAAACCACCTAGAAAAGGTGAAAGGAGCATGAACTTTGTAATTAAATGCTCATGCTTCAAATCTTAGTCCAAATGAGAGATTACATTGGCTTGGACAATAGTAATAGCAGTGGGGGAAAGTGGTAAGTTTCTGAATACATATTGAAGGAGGAAACAATGGGATTGTTCTAGTAAATTCATTGTGTGGGGTAGCAGAAAAAGGAGTTAAGGACATTCCAAATTTGGGGTCCTGAGTCCCTGGAAGGGTGGACTTGCCATTTATAAAGAAGGAAAAGATTTGCAGAGAAACTGGCTTGAGGGAGAAAAATCAGGACTTGATGTTGACCAGGTACTATTGAGATCCCAGTTATGTAACCAAGAGAAAGCTACTAGCAGGATGATACTGCTGTTTAACGGGGAGATCTTGGGGTTTCAATACAAATGTGGATGCCACATTCAAAGAGAGTAAATAAGATCATGTGGACTGTGCTGATGAAGAACGGATCCTTGACCTGAGCCCTGAGGCACTCCGGTGGTTGAGGAGGGGAGAAAAACAAAAAATTATGTTGTCCCAGAAGGAAAGCAAAGCTAATCATGCCCAACGCTGACAATAGGTACAGTATCGGCCACTGAAGGCCATGGACGTCAGTGGCAAACATAATTTTATCATAGGGAAAGGGACAAAAGCCCAAGTTGGAGTGAGTTTATACGTTTTAAGTAAGGTTGATAAAGCATTCCCAATTTTGTTTTAAATTCAGCATTGTCTAAGTAGGTCAGAAATGGTTTGGCACTGATATTACAAAGATAAACAAGATCTGGCTGGGTGCGGTGGCTCATGCTTATAATCCCAGC
This sequence comes from Homo sapiens, assembly GCF_000001405.40. Lineage (NCBI taxonomy): Eukaryota > Metazoa > Chordata > Mammalia > Primates > Hominidae > Homo > Homo sapiens. The sequence continues at coordinate 81,865,364 of NC_000003.12, read as the reverse complement.
ACTTTGGGAGGCTGAGGTAAGCGGATCACCCCTGAGCCCAGGAGTTCAAGACCAGCATGGCCAACATAGCAAAATCCCACCTCTACTAAAAATACAAAAATTAGCCGGGCATGGTAGCATGTGCCTGTAATCCCAGCTACTCGGGGGCTGAGGCATGAGAATTGCTTGAACCCAGGAGGCATAGGATGCAGTGAGATTGTGCCACTGCAATCCAGCCTGGGTGATAGAATGAGACAGAAAGGGAAGGGGAGGGGAGGGGAGGGGAGGGGGTGAGGAAGGGGAAGGGGGAGGGAGGGGGCGGAAGAAAGGAAGGAAAGAAAGAAAAAGAAAGAAAAAGAAAGAAAGAAAGAGAAAAAAAGGAAAGAAAAATACAAGATCCCTCGAGTTCATAATCTAAAGGAAAACATTTATAAGCAGTGTTAAAACTATTCACTAAATACAAAAATAGAGGGACAGATAGTGTTATGGGAGCAATGAAAAGAGAATACTCAGCTTTTGATTTTCTATTTTCAATTTTCAGGTAAGGATTTTTTTAAAATATGCTGCTTCTGTAAGTCACGTAAGGACAGCCTAACCTACCAAGGAGAAGCAGTCAGTATGGCACATAGTGTCTGAATTCCAGAAAGGCATTAGGTTCTAACACAAACATAACATCCAATTTTTATCAGCAAATTAAGGTTATACAGCTTAGACAATATTTGTATATTGCATCTCACCAGCGTTGAGCTCAAAATAAAACAACTGTCTTGGTTGTATCTATTGCCAAACCCAAACTTACTGACAGAAAACAGACCTGACTCTGGGCAGACTTTCCTTAGCCAACTCCTTCCGCATCTTGATTGTTTTTCTCTCAGCAAACAAAGCTCGCCCTTTCAGCCCTTAAGAGGTTCTAAACTTAAGTGGAATCAGTGGCTGGGATTTTCTTTCAAGTGAGTATTGCCTTCAGCAAGGGCGTCCCGCAAAATGGATCAGATCCTCCCACTGCAGGAATTCCTCACTCTTCAACGCTCTCGCTGTCTTTCCTCATAGGGGGCCAGGGGAAGGTTAATTGGTAATTTCTCTTTGAATATGAAGCCTATTTAGCTAATTACTTGGGTTTTTGATGTTATTTTTAGAAGACTGGTTTAGAGATTTGTTTTAGAGGTTCTTTTCCTTCCCTTCAAATTCAGATGTCTTTTTAAACTTAAAGGCAAATACAATAAGTCTAATTCGATTCCAAATAATTTAATTAAGTGGATGAGCCCATTGTAATTCTGTGGAAATTAGATCCTCATTTTATAGAGGGAAATGAAATAACTCCCTTTATAAATGTTATGTGAGGTTTGAGGTTGAGAAACAGGAAACTAGCGGTAAAATATCAGATGTGAAAATTCAAACCTTGTATCCAACAGAAGTTGAAGTGAATTCAACTAAATGTCACTTTCTCAGTAACCTTCCCTGATCACACCTTCTACATTATGTCACCTCCTGTTATTCTATAGCAAGCACCCCGTCTCTTTCCCGCAGAACTCTTATTATAGCAGGAAGTTATTTTTGGCTTACTAAATAGTTTATTACTTATCTACTCCATTAGAATGTAGACACCATGAAATCAGGAATTGTTTTTCTTATTTTCTTTGTAATGCACACATTTTCCCCAGTACTTGAAAAACATTAAGGATTTTAATAAATATTTGTTGAATAAATGAAAGAATAAGTGAATCAACCAACTAAGTACATAACACTCAGGTTGAAATCATCCAACTACCTAAAATAGTGGCTATTAATTTTTTGGACCATAACTCACAGTGAGATATGTTTTCTTTTTTTTTTTTTTCTTTTTAAGATGGAGTCTCCATCTTTTGTCAGGCTGGAGTGCAGTGGCACGGTCTCAGCTCACTGCAACCTCCGCCTCCCTAGTTCAAGTGATTCTCTTGCCTCAGCCTCCCAAGTAGCTGGGACTACAGGTGCACACCACCACACCCAGCTAATTTTTGTATTTTTAATAGAGACGGGATTTTACCATGTTGGCCAGGATGGTCTCGATCTCTTGACCTCGTGATCTGCCCTCCTCGGCCTCCCAAAGTGCTGGGATTATAGGCGTGAGCCACTGCGCCCGGCCAGATATGTCTTTTTTACTGGCATAATTTATTACTTTGTTCAATTATTTTTATAAGCTGTATTTAACTGGAATTTTTGTTTCTGTTTTTATTTAGCTTATTGTCCCTTTTCCTTTCAACAGAAGTGAGAAAAGGAAAATAGCTCAGAGTGTTCTGAGCTATGTGAGGTATTCAAAATGTATCAGGTCCAGAGAGACAAGAGTAGGTACTTCAGTCACATTCTCCCCATGTTCAGGGGTCATTGTTTAAAGTAATTTTGGTCCTCAGCAGCTGCCTCACCCATTATCTTCATGTTCCTGAAATTTGTGATACAAAGAACAATGTATAGCCAATAATAGCTTATGTTATTTTAATATAAATTTTTGGTAAACCACTTAGGAACTGTCTCCTCTTTTCCTTTAAAAACCTTCTTATAGCTGTGGTTAATTAGGGTGTATATTCAGGGCAACTTGAAACGATGCTCCCAGGCTGCAGTCCTCAAACGTGGCCCAAATAAACTCTCAACTTATATTAATTTTGCCTCAGTTCTTTTCTTTAGGTTGACAGAAGAATTGCCTTAAACATTTTTTCAATGATTTAAATAATTTATTTTACTTTTTAAATCTTATTTTATGTTTATCATTTATCATACATTGTTACCTATTTTCTTAGTGTGGTTGGTTTAATCAAGCTGCTATATATTCTTCTTTTTCCTCTTAGAAATGTGGACATCCTGGTATATTTTTTTTCCTCCTTTAGTGGCTACCTTCATTCTTCACTAATATTCGAAACAGTAAAACTTTTTCTTATACCAAGATGCACTGTTTTCTCTACCAAGACATCCTATTTCCACAGTACCCTATCAAAATACCATACTTCGCCCATTTTCTTCCTAAGTCCCAGAGGAGGCACTTGAAATAATCCCCAGCCTTCCACTACCCTACTCACAACTCTTAGCTTTTGTTCAGATATTCTAGAACTAAAAGTACCAAGCTACTGTGAGGATTCCCTTTGTTCTATGTTTCTTCTCTCTTAAGTACGCTTAGTTGGAAGTTCATTCCACACACTCTGAGTCTAGGTTGATCCATTTAAGTTCTGTGAAGCAGCAGTTACCCCACAGCACTTTCTACCAGTTCTATTAAATTTCATTTATTTTTAAGTGCTGGTCACAACATCCTAAATTGATTGTGTTACTCACAAAAGGATGTGTCCTTTGCTTCAGTCCCGGCCACTACAGAATCCTGCCTCATTCTGGAAAAAAACATGCCCTCTGGTTGTACACATCTACTCACATCAAAAAGTCTAATAAAAACACTCAGCATCACACCTCAGTTGCTGGGTTGTTGAGAACACCTAAAAAGGTATCTCTTCACCTTAGTCCCATCACTGAAATAACAGATTTATTTCAGAAGGTAAATCTTTACACTGTCATTCCCTGCACAGAATGACAGAGAAACTTGCTCACATCCTCTAACTTGGCAGAATGTCTGACTGGACTTTAGAATCAGTACCTCGCACCAACTTTCCCATTTGTCCTTCCCCATCCTAGAGCCATTCTACTGTATAGCACAGCTTTCAGCCCTCTCTTTTATGTTTACCCTGCTCTGTACTCTCTGATCTGCCACTGACTCTCCTCAAGTAAAGGGATCATCAAGTATAAAGTTTTAAGAAATCTTAAAAAACCAAAAACTTCTAGCCTGATAAATGGAGCCATCTAGTTTCAATAAAGTTTGAAAAGTTAGTAAATCTAAAGACCAGAGTGAAGTTAATCTCTAAATTCTGCCTGTTTTCAGTGGTTAAGAGGATATTGCAATGTCCAAATTGATTTTAAGAATTATTCAGTAAGATAACAATTATCTTCACTATTTGGAAATAACCCAGCAGCCATCTTATTTTTAAACAAAACAGTGTCAAATTAATGGGCCTTATATGCATATTTACCACTAGACTTTTCAGCCATTTCTGCCCCTTTAAAAAAAATAAAGATCGATCTTAAGGAAATATAGATTGTTGGGATCTTAGACAATGGTTATCAACTTTAGCTGCATGGTAAAATCACCCCAGACTAATTAAATAATAATCTCTGGGAGTGTAACTGCACGTGAGCAGTTTTGAAAGCTCTCCAGATGATGTGCAGCCAAGTTTGAGAATGACTACTATATGCCATGAAATTAAAGAGACTAAAAATAAATAAGTAAATGAAGCCTGCACCAGCCTTGAGGAGGAAGGAAGAAGGGTAGTTGGAAAACAAAACAAAATACAAATCTCCTTGAGGTAGAAAGCAATTGATCATTCAAAGCCTCCTTGTCTAACCTCTAGGAAATTTTATTAAAATTCATAGGTAAAAACAAACAAAAAACTATATGAAGAACCCTTGGGTGATCGTTGCCTGGTAACACTTAGCGGTTACACTGAAGGGGTAAAAGATTGTAATCCTTCAAAAAGTGTCTTCTCTTGCTTTTTAAAGAGTTGTGTGGGGTGCTTTGGTAGCCCCAATGAAGAGAAACGAGAGCAAAGGGAGCTTAACAGATTTTCTTCACAGCCAGGGTCAGATAAACCTTGTACCAGCCCATGTGGCTGCTAGGAGTTGCTGGGGTTTGTAAAATTCCACATGAGGAGGGAAAGTCAGCTTGTAATCATGAAGCATTTTTATGTAAGCATTTCCAATAAATAGCCAAAAAAGATCCGAGAAAAAGGGATGTGATTTATTTTAATTTGTTCTCTCATTCTACATGAAATTCCACTTTCATACCTAATTTTGTATTTGTAATTTTGCATGCTTTTCCTCAAAGAGGTCCTCCACATTGATTAAGCTTCAGGCCCCCAAAACCTGGATTCAGCCTTGCCCGCAATTGATGCCGGCTTAAACAAAAATAATACAAGAAAGCATAAATCTTAATTCAGATTTTTCTTCCTACATATGCTTTATAAAAAGAAAACGAGAACATGTAAAATCAGCCAATGAACAAATCAACAGCATTGAAAGTTTCTTATAGAAATCTAAGAAGAAAGACAGGTTATTTTATTTTGTAGTTAACTCTTATGTTTGGGGAAGTACATAGGAAATAGTTGATGTTTTGTTAAAACTGAGTCATCCAAACTGTACCTAGGATTTCATAAGTTTTTTTTCACCATAAATATTTATGTTTCAGAGAAACTATTAGACATTTTGGAATATGTATTAGGAGCTCCAAATTTTGCAGCACTCGTTTGCAAATACCCCCTAATATCTAAATAATGTGTCCCCACTTACAAGCCACCATCACACATCATCTGATGTAGGAGCCTATGAGGCAAGCATCTCAAGGATTTTTTTTTCAGACCCTGTATTCTCCTACAGGCTGATGGAGAAAGTGAACCTCAAAAGAAGATTAAAGAAATTGTCCACAGTTACTCTTAGAAGGGTGCAGAATGAATTTAAAGCTGAGAACTCTGACCTTAATTCCAGTGTTTCTTCCACAGGACCATACATTTCCTCATTCTCTTCCATTTTCCTGTTATCCTCCACTGCCTTCTTCACATCTACCTGTATGCACCTTATACCTGTAACCATTACTCACAAAGGACATGCTGAATAACCTCCATATATGGAAAGTTCTGATTCATGAAGGTGCTAGCCAAAAAGCAAACAACCAAAAATGAGTTGAGGCAAGCCAATCAACATAAAATGGAAAACCTCATAGGTGCTAGCAATATTTTTCTATTAAAATGCCAGATTCATGTACTCTATTCAACTCTCCGCTAAAGAACTTTTCAATTCTTTACTCCTTAATGAGAAGCCAAACTATATATGTTACATGCTTAAATAATTATTTCAGAAGCCATAAGATGTCCATGTAATCAGAATAAATTTTTTCATGAACTTGGGACCTAAACTTGGCCCTTTTCGTTCTTAATCCGTAAGGCTTGTCTGCCCAAAAAGCCTTTCACTTTCTCTGATTTGTTTTTATTTTATAACATTAACTCTCATTTTGTCCCACTGAAGATTGCTTCTTGCCCAGCAATGATAAGCAAAAGATTCAGAGATGAAACAGCTGGTTCTAATACTTAATTGTCCATTACATAGTGGAATACAGCAACATTTTTTACGTAAAAAGAAGAGAAAATAAAGAAAGGAAAAAAATTAACATATAGCAAACCTTGTAAAATTACAACAATATCAACATAACAACACCAGAAAAGCAATATAATTTTGTTTTCCCTTTTCCTTTTTAATTTTCAAAACATGTTATCCTTAACTATTTCATTTTTAACAGTAATTGTATCGAATAACATTGACATTTCTTTTAAAGTTTATATTCATTTTACCATTCTGAAAAGTCTCTTGAACTTTAAAAGTGACCTCAGATTTCTGCAATACATGCTTGCATTCCAACATAAAAATATAATTAAAATTTTGAGCCATTTAATAACAAATATGATATATGGCAGGCCGTGTTGCATTTTTTTAGCTTAAAAACACAAAATGTACTCACCTGGAGAGAAATGTTAAGAAATGTTATTGGAATGAAACAAAAAGGCTTTAATTATTACAAGAGTATTAAATGTTTTCAAAAATCACCTGTTTGGTAAAGACTTGCTAAGTAATAAAATACAGAGTATTTTCTCTAGGTTTACCAGTTTTTTTTTTTTTTTTTTTTTTTTTTTTGAGACGGAGTCTCGCTCTGTCGCCCAGGCTGGAGTGCAGTGGCGGGATCTCGGCTCACTGCAAGCTCCGCCTCCCGGGTTCACGCCATTCTCCTGCCTCAGCCTCCCAAGTAGCTGGGACTACAGGCGCCCGCCACTACGCCCGGCTAATTTTTTTGTATTTTTAGTAGAGACGGGGTTTCACCGTTTTAGCCGGGATGGCCTCGATCTCCTGACCTCGTGATCCGCCCGCCTCGGCCTCCCAAAGTGCTGGGATTACAGGCGTGAGCCACCGCGCCCGGCCGGTTTACCAGTTTTTAATGAGAATAATTATATACATTATCTTGAGGAAATGTCCCATTTGAGAAAGGTAAAAAGAATATAGTAAAATATAAAGGAATAGGAACATAATGAGTACTGTACTTATAAATCATAGCTGACAAAATAGTTTAACTATCATCTGCAGGAGAGGACAACAATTAGAAAATTTAAAACTTCTTATTTTAGATGTGTTTTCATTCTGAAAGTGAATTTCTTATTATGAAGTTATGCCTTGATTATTGGCCATTACCACTAGCAATAAATGAAACTATTCCTAGGTTTCTGAATATATTAGCATATCATGTCATACAGTATATGGGAGGAGCCAAAAATCAACCATTGCTTTAATACACTAACCTCATGATTAAAGCATGAGGCATTGTTAAGCAAAATTAGACTGTGGAAATTATACACAAAAAGATGAGTCATTCATTTACTAATTGGTCCTCCCTATTTCTGGCATAGGAACACTGTCCTTTAGGCATAATTTATACCTTTATCAAACAAGATAAGAATTATGATGATTAGAATTTAGAGGGATTGACTGGGCCCAGCCCTGAGCTATCTTATATGATGGAACTAAAAACAGGATTCACAAATGAGGTTTAAATATTTGAACACAGAAAAATAAAAATCAAAAGCCACACAATCACATGTCTGTAACAAATGCAATAGCATTAACGTGAAGTACAGAGAACAAAGTGTTAACATAACTGGTCACAAGGCCAAACACTTTAATCTAAAGTAAAGTCCTTTGTGTAATGCAAGGAAGTCTATATTGGAAGTAAATTGACCAAAAAGTCAAGACTTCAGAATAATCGTGAAATTGTACATTAACTATACTTTTCAAAATAATGCCATAAACTTTAAAAAATGACTAACAACTGTTGTGACTTGATTAAAAAGAAGGAATGATAATAATTCATATTCACCTTTATGATTCATTATGGCTGGCATTAGAGAAACATTCAAATAGGGCAGAGATCACATATTTAAATATAGGCTAATTATTTTCACCCATCAAAAACAAACAAACACAAACAACTCTAATCTGTTTCCAGTAATTATGTCTAAGACTTATTATATTTCTATGAATGATGAATCATACCACTAGTATCATCAAACAACACAGTAATCAAGGGTGCAGTCTCTGAATCCACATTGGCTAGTGTGGAGTGTCTGCTGGGATGCCTTCTGACTGTGTGACCTTGATTATGGTCAGAGACTTTTCTGTTCAACAGGTTCCTCATCTGTAAAATAGGAATAATAATAGCAAGTACTTCATAGGGCTGTAGTTGGCAGGATTGAGAGGACTATTTCTGACATGGAAATTCAAAATAAATATGACCTATAATATTACCACTACTATTACTACCACTGTCACTATCGCTATTACTCCTTCTGCAACCAAGAGAAGTCTATTAAACTGCAAATATCCTTGAGAGTGGACCAGTGACATCTTTCTATATAGCCCACTAAGGAAAACATTTCATTACAAAGCACAAATATCAACAATTCCTTTTCTTTCAGGCCATTTCTATGTAAGAAATCCAATCAATAATTTGCTATTGTAATTTGCTATAATAATTTCTCCTTTTAAGGGATTGGCTATTCAAAGAGTTAAAAACTAACAGACAGAGCAACTGCCATAGCAGTGGATATTATCATTCATGAAAGTGTGATTTGGAATTATGTCTTTTTTTCTACAACTTGAGATTTTAGAAGTCTAGGTAAAGGAACCTACCCGATTTTTGTAAGTGTTCAATTAAAGGTGCAGCTCTTACCTTGGAGTCAATAAAAATCTACCAGACTCCTGAGGTCAGTGAGTTGGGGAAGGGAAAAAATGATAGGATGTTCCCCTCATACCCACTTCCTCCTGTCAGTTCCTGCATTTTCTTGCAGGATAACAGGTCTATGGAAACATTTCCTCTAGCTCAAATGCACACCTCATTATCAAAAATAACACTCAAACTCTTAGCTTGGCAATTCAAGACCCAGCTTGCCTTTTCAGCTTCATTTCCAGTTACATTATTTTCCAGTTTTTACTGTGCATTTGCAAAACAGCTTTGGTGCTGCTCCACTCTCTCATTTCCATGTTTTTCCCCCATATTTTTCTCTCTACTAGAAATGCATCACTTTCCCCCATCTCTAACAACAAAAGACTCATCCACTCTTTAAGGCCCCACTCAAATTTCCATAATGCCTGCTGTGACCTACTCTTCCTCTTGCCACCGTAATGTGCACCATTTCTTCCACCACTGAGGTCCCATCCCCTAAATTTCTAATGTGTTTATCTCCTACTCTCTGGCATGCATGTAACTCACTGTATTAGTCCATTCTCATGCTGCTATAAGGACATACCCAAGACAGGGTAATTTTTTTTTTTTTTTTGAGATGGAGTTTCTCTCTTGTTGCCCAGCTGGAGTGCAATGGCATGATCTCGGCTCACTCCAACCTCCACATCCTGGGTTCAAGTGATTCTCCTGCCTCAGCCTCCCAAGTAGCTGGGATTACAGCCACCCGCCACCATACTTGGCTAATTTTTGTATTTTTAGTAGAGACCGGGTTTCACCATGTTGGCCAGGCTGCTCTGGAACTTCTGACCTCAGGTGATCCACCCGCCTTGGCCTCCCAAAGTGCTGGGATTACAGGTGTGAGCCACTGCACCTGCCCAAGACTGGGTAATTTATAAAGTGGCTTAATTGACTCACAGTTCAGCATGGCTTGGGAGGCCTCAAGAAACTAACAATCATGGTAGGAAGAGAAGCAAACATGTCCTTTTTACAGGGTGGCAGAAAAAAGAATAAGAACAGAGCAAAGGGGGAAGTCCCTTATAAAACCATGAGATCTCGTGAGAACTTACTCACATCATGAGAATAGCATGGGGGAAACCATCCCCATGATTCAATTACCTCCCACTGGGTCCCTCCCAGGACAGGTGGGGATTATGGGAACTACAATTCAAGATGAGATTTGGGTAGGGACACAGCCAAACCATATCAGTCACCATGTGCATGGGTTATTTACTAAGTCCTACTCACCAAATCTAATATGTATGATACGTTTAGGTGTAGCAGATCAGCATGATGTTCTAAGAAATGGCAGACTAAGCAAAATCCCTGGAGATTAGCTTATGACAGAAAACCTGACAAGTTAGAATTTAGAAAGAGTAGGTGCTTTGTATAATCTGAATGTTTGTGTGTTCCCAAATTCCTATGTTGAAATCCTAGCCCTCAAGGTGATGATATTAGGAGGTGGGGCCTTTTGGAAGGTGGATCAGGTCATGAAGACAGAGACTTTGTAATGAGATTCGTGCCCTTATAAAAGAGGCTAAAGATAGTGAGGCATGGTGGCACACTCCTGTAGTCCCAGCTACTTGGGAGACTGAGGTGGGAGGATCATAAATTTAAGCCCGCTCAGGGCAAAGCAGTGAGACCCCTATCTGCAAAAAAATAAAAAGGGGCCTAAGGGAAATTTTCCTCCTTTTCCACCATATGAGGCTGTAGCAAAAAATATGTCATCTATGCAAAAAGGAACAGGCTCTCACCAGACTTTGAACATGCTAGTGTCTTGATCTTGGACTTCCCAGTGGGCAGAACTGTAAGAAATAAATCTCTGTTGTTTATAGGCTATCCACTTTATGGTATTTTGTTATAGCAGCCCAAATGGACTAAGACAGTAGGAGTACTGCTAACTCTGCCAAATGAATTCAAAACTCTTTTGGTAGTCTTTAAGCATAGAAAATAAAGCATTCACTAACTCAGTAGTTGCATACCAGTTACCAGATGCTGCACTGATTTGTTCCAATAAAGAGAACAGATCTAGAATAGTAACAGAAATTGGAATTGCTAGTGGTTATGTTTATGATAACCCATTGTCATTCTCCAAAATTCATTTGACTTCTCTTCCAAATAGTCAAGTTAACAGAGATGTATCTTACAAGTCTTTGTTGGAGGCATAAATACATGCAATCTTACTTAGAATGTTATATTCATTTTTGTTTGCTATTTTGGGAGGGAGGGGAAGTTCTAGGTTGTAGTGGCTTTGTTTTTCTTTTTTAGCACTCATCTTACCATTTATAGACCTTATGCCATTTTTCAGGGAATAAAAATAGTTATTTTGCCAGCATATGGCAACTGATTAAGGTTTAATATTGGGAGTTGACTTTCAGCACAGCCAGAATACAGAAGCAATACCAGATCTGGTGGTTTTTATTTACTTTTGTGTGTCTCACCCTGAGACGTACTCTGGTATTAATTTCCTAGACCATCCCTCATCCCCTTTTCCATATAACTTTCAAAATCTATCTCTTAAACACATCAAAACATATTATTTGTTTTTTAATTAGATGAAGAGTTGTATGAATCTATCAGTCCTTACTCATTCTGTGCATATATTTTTTCATTTGGTTTGATTTGGTTTGGTTTACTTTTCTCAAAACAGCACAGCAATCCAGCACATAAAATAATGCTGATAATAAAGTAACATTTTTGACTGGTTACTATAAAACAGCATTCTGTTAAACACTTCATGTACAATACATTATTATCTTACTTATTCTTAGATATAGTGCTACTACTAATAAAAGCTAACACTCATACAGTCTTTCCATGTGCCAGACACTATTACATATATTTACTTATTTAATTCTAACAATAAATCTTTGAAGTACATATATACTATTATCACTAGTTTATAAATAAAGAAGTAACACATAATAAATATCTGTTAGCACGTTCAAGTAACTTGCCCAAAATCACTCAACAACTAATTAGCTAAGTTGTAATTTAAACGGATGTAGTCTGGATAGAGAAACAATATTCAAAACTAATACGTTGTACTGTCTCTGAATCTTACATCTAGCTTTTTAAAATGTATTCCTGTTCAATTTATATACCCTTTAATTTGTTTGCCATGAACTTTCCTGTACAGTAGCTGTGCTAAACATGCTCTGTCTTCTGTTAATAAGTTCTTTGAGAACATGGCATGTAATGTTTATATTCTTGCAATTAACACAATACTATTGTCATATTTAAGGTACTTAATAATTATAATTATTAAATTGATTGGCCAATTGTGCTCATCTTAGAAAATGCTGCAGACCGAGGACTGGTGTTGGAATGGATGTTCTTGACAGAAAGGATCACATTATGGGGAGCAACCAGCTCTGAAAGTTAACAGGTGTCATTAAAGATCGAGCAGTAAGTCCCAACTTACCAACTAGAGACTCCCAAAGAGTTTTATAGATTAATAAATTAGATAATGTAACAGTGTCAGTACTTAAACCAGAAAACAACAATTTCATTATTTTTGCCGCTATAACCAATCGGGCTATTTGGGAATCCAATTAAATATTAGATTATTATGTAATAATTTCTGAAAAGGAGAATTATCTTAGATCTGCAGAAACCAAAGTACCTATATAATAAAGAAGCAATAGTTGAATAAATATAGATGAGATAGAGGCTTTGAGTCAAAGGCTCAAAGAGTAAGATTTAAAATTTATAAAATATGTATATTTTATAGTATGTTTAACCCCACAAGTTTCAAGTATGTAAACCTTTCTCCACCATTTTAGCTATAATTGTTATTTCTAATCTGATTCATTATGTAACCTTATTACACATATTTATTTCCAGAAATATTATCTATAAATGCTTGATCATATTCATCACTTACTCCAAAGAACTGAATTAAAGAACGGCTGCAGTATGACAACAATCTTTTATAAATATGATCTCCCAAAACTGATATAAGGATGAAAAATATAAGCACTTAAACGCTAACATTTGCATTATCTAATTGAGATCCTATGTAATAATTCTTAACTTATAAACCATACTGCTTTTAAAAGTTCAAACTAAATAACATATTCTTAGCATTGACATTAGCAATTTATAAGAGATCCAGAGGAACTAGACAGATTTCTATTTTAAGATAGATTTAAAAGTATGTTAGAAGTGTGTGTGCTGAATGAACCTCCTACATGCAGAATCTTTTTTTTTTAATACCATCTCAAAACAGAAATAATGCTTTTTATCCTTTGAAGCACAGAAATTTAACTCACAGCTTCTCTAGACACTAATAGGTTGGTATAACCAATATGATCTTTTGATCAAAATGAAAGAAGGGCTGTATTTTGGGCTCAGCCACTGTCTGCAGAATGAATTAGACAAAATCCTGAAGGGGTAAGAGCTTTATTTTCTCTGACTGTAGATACAATTAGCAAGGCATGCTGAGAACCTTGGGTGAAAGGAACAAATAGGTGTTATTATTCTTATTTCCTGTGTTAGTGCATTTACTAGTGTAGTAAAATGGAGGGGCATTGATCTGGGAGTCAGTAAACCTATGCCCTAGTTCTGGCTTTCCACCCAAACTTGCCTTAATAACAAACTCTCTAAGCATCACTTTCCTAATAGATGAAAATAAATGTATTAGTCTTTGATCTATCTTGCTTATTACTATTAGAATTTTTAAAAATTCAGTAATTCAGATGAAATATTGCTTATTTATGCAACTTCTTCCTTGTACTAAAATAATAATGATAAATATATATTGTGTATATATATGTACACATACACGCATATACATATACCTACATATATGTGTGTATATACATATGTATTCATATATATGAATTAAATATGTCACATACTTTGTAGAAGGATTTATAAACTATAAACTGTCAAATGCTGCATATTTATTTCATTTACTTTATCGAGTATTTATTGGATGCCTTATATAAGCCTGATTTTGTGTTAGGATTTAGCTAAACAGAGAATAAAGACACTGGCTTTAGGGTGCAAGTCTAGATAAGTTAGAACATATAAAGAAATAAGTAATAAAGACTAAAATGTTTCAACATCTATGACAGAATTATGTATAGGCTAAAGAAAGGCACAAGAAAAAGAGCTAAATTCATCATTTGAGAGGTCACTGCTGGACACCTTCCAAGAACTTGGTAAACTGTAGTTATGAAAAGGACCCTGTAATAAGACTGTCTTATCTCTACAGCAAACAAAGAACAGATTTCAGAAGGCAGAGGCTCCAGTTTACTGGAGCTCCCATATAATGAATTGTCCACTCATCCTTGTTATTTCTTCCTTGAACCTGAAAACTAATTTCATCTTAATTATCTGTAGTATATATTTGTTCACATACTTGTTTTTCTCAATCGGTCAGTAAGTTCCTAGAATATAGGGACTGTCTTCTTTATCCTCAGTACCTAGCAGAATATATAAATGCGTAAATAATATTTATGACTGTAGAAATGCAAAGATGCAACAGGAAAAGCAGGAATTTTTATTATGTAATTTTTAACATAGTATTGATCAACCGAGAGAAATCTCTGATGCCAAAATTGTTCCCCGAACCTGAAAGAAAATTAAACCTGTGTGTGTGTGCACATACATATGCATGTATGCATAGGTGGCCAGGTAAACTTTAATACAGTGAAGTGGAAAGAATATGGGTTTGGAATTCAAATAGACTAGAACTGGCATCCAAATGATATAAGATCTAGGGTTAGAGCTCCCAGAACTTTAGTTTCCCTTTGTAATTTAGTAAAACTAAAATTGCAAATCAGAGGCCTTTGTTCTTATCTCACAAGACTTAGCCATGACAGTGCAAGACTATTGAAATATTGTACATTATCATGGATACAATTTATTTTCATTTATTTTTGTAAATAGTGGCCTTTACCACTATTTTTCTTCAATTTCTGGCCTTTGAACTTCTCTACTTGACAAAGCAAAAGTAGCAGTAAATTTGTTACCGTACTTCCATGATTCTAATTTGAGTTTTTTGTAAATATGAAACTACATTACAAAATGTGCATGATTTCTTATTAAGTATAGTTGTTCATTAGAAAAAAAAAGAGGAGTCTAGTTCTCAAAGTAATATTAGTGATACATTTAAATACATGTAAACCTGTGCCTGGGGAAGCCTTTTCTCACAGGATCAATGAGCTCAAACTGTCTCTTTACCTAATGTACAAGTTCAAGGATAATCTTTTTGTAAAGTCATCTTTAAAAAATCTCTACTTATTCTATATACTAAAATTATAGAAAATATCATTTAATGCAAAAGACCTAAATGAGTGAAATATATAGTTAATTATATATATTAAATATATAATTAAATATATAATTTAATATATAATTTAATTGTATATAATTAAATATAATTAAAATTATATAATATATAACTGTACACATATATTTCACTCATTTAGGTCTTTTGTATTAAATATTAATATATATTATATATATATATTTCACTCATTTAGGTATTTTATAAATCCGCCTTGGGTATGTGGCTTGTCTCTGTAAAAGGACTTTGAGGGCAAGTGTCGCAAAACATATGCTATACCTAGGAGAGTGTTTGCATCTGAATATTTGTTGGTTGATAATGGTTTTGTCACTTTGAAAAAATAGCTAATAAATTTTCCTCTCAAAATGAGTTTCCTCTAAACTAAATTTGCCTTACTATCCTCAAAGCACTGTGCTATATATTCAGGAGACAAAGAATAGAATACATATTTGCTCCTCTAAAGAAACCATAATTTAGCTAGGAAGACAGAAAACTTCATCAAAAAGCATACTCAAGGTGACATATAATTATCAAATGGGGGCTTAGAAAGAAAATTAAACCTAGAAAGAAAAACCTATATTAAAAAGATGTATGTGGAATTTAAGAATGTGAGATTTTCTTTATCAGAACTTAGACATTTGTGCACAAGATATTCTAGTTTTACTAAATCCGTGGCTAAGAAAAGTGCTCTGCTATAAAAATGGATGGGAAATTTTACACATTCAGCTTAGAACAGAATTTTCAAAGATAAATTATCTTAGAGACAGTAATTCATCAGTTCTCTGCTCTGATGAATTACTCTACCTGCAGATATAGTAATTAATCTTATTTTTATAAATCTCATAGGTGTAGAATTCTTTATATTTTTATTAAAAATACATAAGGTAATCAAATCTAATATTAATAACTGAAATCTACTTATTTGATTGCGACTTTCTGCCCCTCCGAAAGTTCACATGGTAGTAAAAAATGTACATGACTATGAAATTTAAATTATAAACCTATAATCTCCTGAGTTACTAACAAGTATAGTGACTTAACTATGTCACAGATCCATATTTTAAATTCTATTATTTTATCAAAGTAATAAACTGAAACACTGTCAATAATGTAAGAAAGCCTAGTTAAGATAGTCCGTTGAATGTATGAGAAGACTCATGGATCCAAACCAGCCTTAGATGAACTGTGGAGTCCAGAGGTCTGTTGCTCTCTGGTTTCCCATATCTCTACGTGTTCTTCCCTGCTAAGAAATTCTCCCCTCCTGCGTGATTTGTATTCTTTCCCTTCGGAGGCAAATATAATTGAAGAAGGAGCAAAAAATGAGTTAGGCTAGTACTACGGATATCAAATTGAGTAGTTTGGGTTTATCTTGTAGTCCAATGGGTTTTTAACTATAGTATCTTGATACACGATTATACCAATAATTTGTTAATAATAGCAGTCAGTAAAAATTTGATTACTGTTTCTAATAAATGAGTTCTAGTCTTACATGCCTTTCAGTTTCTTGCATTTCAGTATGCTTTTTTGAGTGAGTAGGAAGAAAAAAGTGGAGTAAATAGCTAATGACACTAAAGCTATGTATGTCCACGCTGTTTGTCCTTTGTATGAATACCAGCTATCTTGCATGTTAAGGCAGAAGAAAAATTGTAGAGAAACACTCCTTTAGGAAATGGGAGTCTAACAATTTATTTTAAACAACGACAACAAATGTTAACTGATTTGCATTTAAAAATAATCTGTCAGTATAATGAAGGGTTCATTAGAGGAGAGCAACATTGAAGTAAGGGAAGTTAGGAAAAAAGAAGGTATTGTCAAAACCTAGTTGAAAGATGAAGGTTTGATCTAGACAGTGTGAATAGAAACTGAGAGATTCAAAACTGATTCATCTGTCAGTCATTTTTCTAAGCACTGGATCAATCCTGCAAATAACTTCAAAAAAGAGAAAATAATACAAGTTTCACAAATAGCTATTTGCACAGATTTTATTTACTAACTGAAGGTTGCTCAGAACCACTTTTTTGAAACTGTTCTTTGTAGCTCAAACCTTATCTGTCTCTTCGCTACCACTACAGTAATGTGCTATTTTGTCCTAGTCTTTGCTTTCTAAAATGGAGGACAGAAACTCAGTTTTCTAATGGGCCAAGGCAGCTAATTAGGAGAATTGAAGCGCTATTGCCCAAATTGATTTCAGAAAACAAAATCCACTCAAGTCATCAAAAAATCTGCTTTTGACAAATCATGGCAAAGAGATTTTACCTAACTTGAGTTCACAACCCAAACAGCATGGCGGAACTAATAAATATTTAGATTTCCTTGAATAGATATTTCCTTCTTATTAATGTCTCCATTGAAGACTCAGACAAGGAAATAGAAACACTGAGTCTTTTTTTAGGTGACACATCTAATCAACCTTTCAAATAATGATTGTACATCTGCTTGAACCATTAGAATATACCTGCCAAGTTTTCATTTCTGATGAAAACTTTTGTCTAACATTCTTAATAAATTTCATAAATCACAGTTAATATTTATCCATGCTTTGATTTATCTTTAAATTATTGGTATGACATTAAATAACAGTTTGGCTTTACAGGTACAATTATAAATAGACTAATTCTTGCTTCAATATCTTTGAAGATATGGCTGAAGGCCTTGGTGAATTTTTTATTCAACTACGATCCCCTTCAGTTTGAAATTTGTATTTTTACTTATAACAATGTTTGTGTTCAATGGTGATTACTTTGATTAGCTAGCAAAATGACAGATATGTCCCATTTTAACCAGCTGCTTCTTAGCTGCAGTTTCTTTGAAAAAACAATTGGTTTTAGGCTTATTATTGCCTTTAATAAGCACAATTCAAAGGTAAACTGAAGACAAAACTAATTTTTTTTACCCACTTTTTCTTATTGTGTCTATTGCAGGTAGTTTTCCAATACTGTATGAAACATTTGAAGGTTTCATGATCCTTTTGTTGGTTTTAGGTAATTGAAGTTTCCTCATTCCATTCCTGTCACAAGCATAGTCTTGTTTCAGAAATGACACTGTTCGGTCCACAGTAATCAAAAATACAACCTTGAACTTTTCCCCTCTTCAATCAGAGCCTGACTGTAGTGTAGCCATTGCAGTGGTAGAGGATGGAGGGAATGGGTCATTCTGTCTAACTCATCTCCTCCTCTACTCACCTGTTCATGTAAATTAAAAGGATTGGAGGCCAAAGGCAGACAGGGAGCTTTCACTTAGGCAGGTATTATCACAAGATGGTATTATAGGAACTTGGCCTGGCAGATGTTCAAAGCTTTTTCAGACCTTGGAAGCTAACCTTCCCTGGCTACAACATCTGTGACTGCTTGTTCAGTACCTTTCCTTCAGATGTCTACTTCTCCCTTAGTTCTAACTTCCACAGTGTCGTCTTCAACACAGACTAGCAGTTAGAGTACTATTGCCTATCCTGGAAGTCCCGCCAAGCATGATTGCTAGAATGTGCTCCCACTCTTGTCATCTACATCTGGTGTACAGGAAATGCAAATGAGCTTTTGCTCTGTTACTAGTGGGAATGTGATTATTATACAAACAGACTCTTCTTTCTTTTGAACATGCTACCTCAGAAGTCATGGCCTTCCCCTGAAGAATGTCAGGACATGTGTCAGACATTAGGTCAGTTCCCTAAATTCCGGAGCCATTTCTCAAGCTTTCCAAATACTCCCAATGAAGCTCCTCTTTCTAAGTTTCAGGTTGAGGAGGATGGATTCCCAGTCCTCACCTTTGAGAGGGGTGGTGAGATTTAGAGCCTAGCACCAGCTCCTTTCAAGGAAATCTCTCGCAAATATATTTTTACTTTACTTTCTTACTCAGTCCTTTTATCATCGGAATTAGAGCCTTCTAGCCAGTTATTTTTCTCAGAGGATTTGTTTTTCGACCTGGCATCTCACTTCAGGACTTTGTATCTGTGGAAATATGGTGCCTCACTCTAAACTTCCAATGACTGTACATCTACTTGAACCATTAGAATATACCTGCCAAGTTTTCATTTCTGATGAAAACTTTTGTCTAACATTCTTAATACATTGCATAAATCACAGTTAATATTTATCCATGCTTTGATTTATCTTTAAATTATGGGTATGACATTAAATAACAGTTTGGCCTTAACATGCTGTTACAATAACGTTGGTCATTTTAATAATAAATCATGCCAGTTAAGTTTCTAAGTAACAAATGAAAATTAAGATCTTCTCATTACACACACAAAAAGTGTTTGCCTCCAAATTTTACATGTACTATAAGTCCTTTTGCAGAGAAATGAGTGCACATTTGCAAGCATGCAGTTTTACTCTGACTTAAGAAAGATGTGTCTTTTGTTCTCTGCTTCCTCTTCTTCCAAACCAACTAGGAATCAATATGCAGATGCTAGATTTACAGACTCTCTTAGGATGACAGATCAATAAAGAACCCCATTGAAAAATGCTTGCCTGGAGGAGGAGAATATAAACTTTTTCCTTAATCTCAGTAAGGCTTTGCTCCCAGGACCAGGCACTTCTTGTTCAGTGTTAATAGTACTGAGTTTTCTTACTGCTTTTTCATGTGAAAGGCACTCTTCAAATATGTACTTAATTAAGCCTCTCTTTTAACAGAGGTGGCCCGGTTCTCATCCCCCAGCCTCTCATTCCTATCTCCTGTGTGGAGATTTGCCTTTGAAGTCATGCAGGAGAGATGTGCAGGCATGAAGGAGATGAGAACAGAGCCAAGGGCGCTGGTAACGAACTTTTGATGGAAAAGAAGTTTTGATTAATTCAGCTATTCTAGCTACCCTCTATTTAGAATTCTTATAAGAGGAAATACTAAATTACAGAAAGATAATGAGTCCGATTTTATGTTAGCTCTGAAAGTCCTGCCCTCCAAATGCATTTGCGAACATCCCGTGGATTCCTAAAGATTTAGAACCCTGCAAATTTCCAATTTTATAGGACTTATTTATTTTGTATTATGCCTGGACTCTTTATGTTTCTCTCTTATAATTGCCTTGAAGTTCACAGCTGGAACTTGACTTATTAAAAGGCACCTATTTGTCTGAATTCCTCTCCTTGAATTGATTCTTGGAAGGAAGTCCATGATCATTTGTAGCTATGCATATTATCCATAACTACAATTTTGGAAATAGATGTTGATCATTTGAGAAAGTGTTTTCTAACTGCTCACAATACAGAGGCAATTTCAACAGTAGGATTGAATCTGATGTTACTATACAGTGGCTGCCAAATAATTCATTTTAATTTCTTATCTCTGGTTATCTCAGTCATCTCCCAGAAAATTATTTTCTTAGATTGCTTATTTAAAGGTTTACAGAAAAGATGCAGCAAATGTATACAACATAAGTAACTTGATGCTTGATGGTCGCAAGTTTCATAATTATAGTAACTTTTTCTTCATTGTATTCTTGTTCAGACATGCTGAATCTTTTTTTGGGACATTACATTTCATAGATTGGCTCATGTTGTGTTATTGCAAATATCATTTTGATATTTTCATGCACTGCAGACAGGATATAGAGGTAAAGTAAGTGCCATATTGCATACTTGATTTCCAATTTACCTGAACCTATTAAAATAACTCTTGAGAGTCATTGTTTTAATCCTTATATTGTTTTCCAGGTCACAGATACTCTACTCAGCAGTGAAATTGTCCTTACTAGCTTCTACAAGATACTGATTACATTTCTTGTGATGTTTTAATAGGTTTATCCTCAGAAGAGCTAAAGTTCAGGTTTTTGGAAATTTTTACAGAGTAACAGTGTATGTATTTCCAGTATTTTTTCAGTGATTCCTAATAAGCATGGCTCAAGAGGAACTTCCGATTTTCCTCCTTCTGCTAAGTTACTGTCTATATTATTTAATTATATTTATATCTATTAGATGATACATCAAAACAACAGACCTCTTCAACTTTTTATTGTTCAATCATTCCAGCCTCTTTCTTGGACTCAATTAAAAGTAAAGTCACGACAATTCATGAAATTTTACTAGTCAAAGCCAATTACTTCCTAATGGTACCTGCCAAGCACAACATTACAGTTAATGGGGCCTACATTTTCCCACTGAAAATAGTATAAGTAAAATAAACTATTATAATAAACAAGATCCCTTGTTTGAATCAATTTTAGATGATAACCCTTTTCCAGCAGTTAGGAAACTGGCATACCTCATTCACATAGCATCTAATACTAAACCAAGTGAAGACAGAGGGCTGAATATTTCAGTTTTTGCTCTCTATAGAAATATCAATTCCCTTGATTCTTATTTCATATCACTAGCATGTTATTTGTTATTAGATGATCATTAGGTAAATAGCATATATGTGGCAACCAAAAATGAACGTAAAGATTTCTAAGGACTTGACTACATTGCCAGAGGTCTCTCTGCCTAAAACACTCTTCCCTTAGCTTTCCAATGTCTGCTCTCTCTTTGTTATTCAGGATGTGGCTCCGTATGACTTTCTCAGAGAGGAAATTTGGGGGCACACTTTCTAAGATTGTTTCTCTCCATTGAGTCGCTCTCTAATTTATCATCCTGCTATTATTTTCTTTATATTATTTATCAATACCTAAATATTTCTTATTTATTGACTTGTTTGTTTACTTGTACGTGCTCTTCTCTATGCCAACTGAAAGACAAGTTCTACCAGGGAAGAAAACTTGTCTCTTTGATTCATTGCTGAATCTCTGGTTAACAGAATAATGCCTAACTCATGATAAACTCAATAAGTAAATACATGTTCATTCATTCCTCTATCACCCATCTGTTGAATGAATGCATATATTATTAACTGAACTTCATACCTCTCTGCTTAAAGTCAGGCAGATGATAACTCATACAACTGCCCAAAGCAAAATAGAACTGATGGATAATGTCAAGGTTGAGAAGACCATCAACCATCTGGAGCTTCTAGGACAAATGAAGTAAAGGCCATGAAAAGTACCAAGTCTTTCTTTGGCTTTTACCTTTTAGTATCACTGTTGGAGAGCAGCACTCAGTTGGACATCTGCACTGTGTAATGTTGGAACTCTCAGTATCTTACAAGATGGAATCTGTTTATATACATCTGATTATTGTTAAATAACCTAAACATTTTCACCTCAACATAGGCTGAAATTCTATTCAGTAGTCACTACAAACTAAATATTGTTTTCATATGAACACTGCTTAAATGAACATATCACCTTTAATATGATGCACTAATCAACAGATAAAAGTAAATCTGTTTTTATTTTGGACGGAAAAGTGCCAGCATGTAAAATAATGAGTTTGATTTCATCCTGGACTAAGATGAGTTAAAACTTTTGCTGGGTCCAACTGATTAGTTAAGATGAAGACTAAGCCGCTATAATAAAACTGTCCAAAGTATAGAGGTTAAAAAATATAACTCTAATTCTTTCTTGTGTCACAGATGTAAGTAGCAGTCCAGGTAAGCAGACAGCTCTGCCCCATGAGGTCATTCAGAGATTCAAGTTCCTTACATTGTGATTCTGCCATCAACAAGGCTGTTGTTCTCATCCGTATGGCCGTAGCTAAGTCCCAGAAATGGCCATGTTGCAGCTCACAGGAAAGGGAAAGTATAAAAACACTTGCTTGACTAATATTTTTAAGACCTATAGCTGGAAGTGTCATTTTCACTTTTAGTCGCATTCCATTAGTGAAAATGTAGCCAAAGGACCACATCTAGCTGGAAGAGAGTCTGAGAAATGTCTCTAGCTAGGCAGCTACATGCCCAACAACAAATTTACTATGAAAGAATAGGAGAAAATATTTTGTTGGACATTTTTCTATTTCTACCCTCAGGCAAGGAGAGCATGAGGATGTTGGTTCCATTGAACTGAATGTTTGTATCCCTACAGAATTCACCCTAATCCCATGTGATGGTATATGGAGGTGGAGCCTTGGGGAGGTAATTAAGTCATGAGGATGGAGCCCTCATGAATGAGATTAGATTAGGTCCCTTATGAAAGAGACCCTAGAGAGTGCTCTTCACTCTTTACAACATGTGAGAATACAACAAGAAGTCATCAGTCTACAATTGAGAAGAGAGCACTCACCAGAACCTGACCATGCTGAGACCATGATATTGAACTATCACCTCCAGAACTGTGAGAAATAAATTTCTATTGTTTGTAAACCACCCAGTCTATAATATTTTACTATAGCAGCCTGAACTGATTAAGACAGTGGTCCGTGAAAACAGTATTAAGTAAGTGCTAGGGATATGATCAAAGAAGAAAAAAAAAATCAAGAAGAAGATTTTAGAAACAATACATTGCAGATACCAATTTTATATTTAGTTTTTATGAATATTGACATGGTAACTTATGCAGTAGAAAACCTTTCTTATAAATAGATCAGAGAATCGAATTGAGAATCCCTGCCACAATGTCATGTACAAAAGCACTTTTGTTTGTTCTATATAAAAGAGGTGTAAGGCAAGCCATACTAGGGCAAAAAGCCAACTCCCATATGTGAAGTGTGTTCCTTAATAAATATCATGTCATGAACTGTCATATTTTAAGTCTGCTTCTAAATATAACTTCCTGTTACTCTACGAGTTCAGTGACTCTTGATCTTGTCAAAAATGTAGCTGCCTAGTATTTTCTGATTTTTTGTGACCCTCTATCTCTTTTCATATGAGTGGAATATACATGATACTTTAGTAAAATAAAAATTTTAGTGAGTTTAATTTCTAGGTGGTATGTATTTTAAATTTGATGCCATTAGTTGAAACCATTAGGAAGTACTACATTATGATTCATGTATTTCTTCTAAAAATATTTGCTAGCTTACCATTTGTAAGCACTGTGCTGGGTACAGAGAATTTAAAAATAAATGACAGGAAACCTGCTTTTAGGAAAATAAAAATCATGGTCTTTTATAATGGGGAAAAGTTTAGTGAGGTCAAAAACACGGTCTTTTTCAATTGGGGAAGCAATGTTTACATGAACCTATATGCCAACTGAAGGAAAGAGAAATTTACTAAAAAAATTTTTAGCTAACTTTATTTTTTAAATTAAATAGATAATCTCTGTATAGTAATCCCAAATATATCTTATTTAAAGATCCTAAAATTAGATTTTTTGTCATCAATTATTTTTATTATTTTTTAGATAAGAATATATTTTAAAGCATATATAGCATTTCAGTTTCTATATGATAAGTAATAAGTTTAAAACTGTACGTGGTAAGCACGCAAGCTATTATCAGTACACTAACTAGAATGCTCCTATATGGCAGATGAATGAAGCATAAAGCAGAGAGTAAAAGTACACTAAAAGTTTATGATTTCATTGTGAAAACTTACAATTCTCCATACTGGGGAATATAGTCAGTCACAGCAGGGAAGTTCATTTTGAAGTTTAAAAAGTCAATCCTCTTATCTTCTTAACTTGAAAATAATTCTAGTGGCAATTAAACTCAACGAAAAGAAAAAATAAAGAAGAATCAATTTCTAGGAGTACCATAAACAACATCATCTTTAACCTCTGAACTTTCGATAGGAGTCCATTTTAAACATTTATAGCATATTTTGGTGATCATTGTATTTTTAAATATCTGGAGAGATACTGCTACAGACCTTCATTTAAGGATTTTCTGGCTTAAAACCTTCCATATTTCTATGGACATATTTGTATCTCTCTTCCCACTCAGTGTCTTAATTCTAGATACTCCTGATAGGATAGTTTTAGATTAAGTACCAAAACACCACACCCAAATGCACTATGACATCATAGGTTAATTCAGGAACACATAACTAATATTCTTACCAGTGTCAAAATTCTCTCTAAAGAAGGATAAGAGTATAAACTTGTCCCATTTTCTTCCAAAATATTTGTTGAGAGTAAAAATAATTTTTAGCCATATATTGCTGAAATTGCAAAAGAACCCTGAGTGATGTGGAGAATAAAGATTATTTCTTTGTTCTCCAGGAACTCTGCACTTAACTCCAAATACATAGGGTTTCCCAACCAAATTGAGTACTTAGCTTCCCCTGAATGCCTGCATCATCTTTTTTGGACTGTCAACTTAACCACATATTAAAGATGCTCTAGTTAGAGGGACAAACTTGGTTGTCCTGGGTAAATTGTGGAAGAACAGCCTAATGAGATTTTTGTTAACAGAGTAGCGACGAAGGCTTCAAGATTCCCCTTGAGCTTTTTCTATGAGAAGTGACTACCTCAATACAAAATCACATGTAACAGGATACTTATATTAAGGGGGAAACACTGCAGCCGACTCAGCCATATAAATGTGTAGGAATCCTCCTTTGTCCCTAAGACTATCAGCATAAACAACTGGTAGTTTACAGACTACACAATCTATTTCCACTTGGGAAAAATTCCCCTGGCTATTTTTAGATGCCATCTTACATAAGGTACTAAAAATTTGTACCCTATTAAATAAGTTAACACACCTACCAAAATGCTTTTTTATTTCCGTAGAGGAAATTAAATCTCCTGCAGTTTGTGACTAAGAGTCTCATGCTTCACAAAGTATCATTATCTTTTCCTACATCTAAGTATTTTTTTCTTATCCCTACTCCTTCCCCTCCCCCATGAGTTAAGACTAGAAACTTAAAACACTATTTTTATTCTGCCCTTCATCTTAGAAGACAGTTTCTTTGCACTAAGCTGATACTTAAAAGTTTTCAAATATTTTCTGGTTGGTGTGCTGGATGATTAGTCCATTGAAATGTGTTTCCACAGCCCTCGTTTGTAGTTCTCTATTGCTACGCATCTTTTTTAATGTTTGTCTGAATTGAACTATATTTGCCATCTGCTGTTTCAGGCTCTCAAATGATCTGAAACCTTTGAATTTTGTTAAGTCATTCCTCATTATTGCTTTTTTAGTGGTATCTATAAAGTCTATCTCTTCCCCTCCTATTTCCTTATGTCTATCATTTACATACTCCAGAGTCACTGAGGTACTAAGACACCAAACAACCAGTTTCAAATGTAAAATCCTCAGCTAGAGTATAGCTGATCTTCTATTCTGAAGTAAACTTTATCACTTTGCTTCTATTCCATGCTTTTTAAAAAGTTTATTCACTTAGCACTGACATGAAAACCATCGATGACACTTTGGTAGTTTTACTGTATTGGATCCTTTTAATTTGTTTTAGCTGTTGTTTAACAAGTCCTTTTCTCCCACAGTATAAAAGTTATACTTTCCATGTCTTTTCTTTTAAGGCTTTAGGTTTCCCTACCTTATTTTTTTTAATTACTTCAATATTTTTTAGAAATGAAGTGTTCAAAATATAATAATGGGCATAATACTGCTCTGAAAAGATCCCCAAAGTTTTATCTAATCACATTATTATCATTTGACTCTGACTCAAAATGCAAGATCTTATGATTTAAGCTAGGCACAGATATGGATGAGGCTCATCAGATGGACCTCCTTTTAGCCTAAAGAACTTTGAACTTAAAAATATAAGTTATCTAACCTTTAAATAAGCAACATTGAATAGCAAGACGGGAACATAATAACTGCAAGAGATACTTCTGTGCAAAGAAAAGGGGAACTGGGAATCACAGTCATGAGTTCATAGCAATTCCAAAACAGCAGGCAGGCAAACAAAGGAGGAAGGAAAAAGAAAAGAGAAAAGGACAAAGAAAATAAAACAAAATACAGCTGGGAACATGTTTTGGTTTCCCCAAATCCATCAGAAGCAAAAACTGTTTCTTGATTAGACACTAATTCTGCTCTCTAGGAGTAATTCCTTAATCCATTGTTCTCAGCTCTGGAGTCTTAGCACCTCCTTCTGAGATATCTTTCCTTTTCCTTAAAAAATGACCCATCTTTTCATTTGAGAAACTACGTCAACCTGCTTCCTGCTTCTGTAAAGTTGGGGCCCAAAACCTTCTTTTTAACTTGAACTGTCTCTGTCCTTTTGGGTTCAACTACATGGTATGTTTTGTAGTAAAGTTCCCTTTAAAACTTTGTGAGTTTTCTATAAATATTATTGATGCTCACTCCTTGCTCCAAAGTCTCATGGTTTAGTTTCTGTTTTGGTAGCATCCAGGTTCAGGTACT
Source organism: Homo sapiens (assembly GCF_000001405.40). Classification (NCBI taxonomy): domain Eukaryota; kingdom Metazoa; phylum Chordata; class Mammalia; order Primates; family Hominidae; genus Homo; species Homo sapiens. The sequence continues at coordinate 81,838,177 of NC_000003.12, read as the reverse complement.
GATTTCTTATCACTCAATATTCAATAAGAGAAGTGAAACCTTTATAGAGATGGAATAAGGGAGTTATCATGGGAATCAGACTTCACACATTTGTGAGAAAAGCGAAGGTAGTGGAGATCCAAAAGGGAAAGTTGGATAATCAGAAGAACTGTAATCACCCAAGGGGTTCATCTTGCCTTCTGCCTAGACAAAGCCAATTCATCAGGATAGGTGAATTGCAATAGAGAAAGAGTAATTCACTCAGAGCAGGCTGTGCGGGAGACTAGAGTTTTATTATACCTCATCTTGGACAGGAATCAGAACTGGCAGTGGCATGTTAATACAGAGATACCAACCTCAGACATATGATGACATTGACACTGGCCCCAAAATGATATTCATCATCATCCTCACTAGCAACAGGAAATAATATTTCAAGTGTTTTTTAATGTGCAACAGACCATTTAAAAGCAAAGAGAGACTTATGAAATAGTGAAATGCTTGTCTAGCCAAGAAAAAAATCCACTGTGCTGAGCTGTATTTGTCTTTATAGAAAGAGAACACTATTATTCTCTGAAACAGCTGCCCAGGTGTTTGATTATTAGAGGCTTTAAACAGCAACCCGCTGACACTATTAAAAGCATAGTCAGAACAGACTGACGGCGATTCTATGTGAAATGAGAGGCGGTGCTTCCGTGACTGTTCAACATGAAGAAAGATGAAGGATTAAAATATTTTGACTGCTTTGAGAGGTATCTCTACCCTTTGCTCACACTTATTATTTGTAATGTGTGGAGAAGTAGCGTTATTCAAACACAAGGGAGTTTGTTGCTATGAATCTCATAGGAATATCCTGAGGAAATCTCAGGCAGAATACACATTTAAGCAATTTTTAAAACTAGTATGTTTACATTTTATAAATGACTCATCATATTCTATTGTGTAAATACATATTTAGACCAGTAAAACTCTTTATAAAACTATGAATTAAAGCCAAATATAAGTATTGGAGTTAATCTTTTCTGCCTGCTTTAAGCACCATTTTGAATGAGTGAGGTGAAATTGGACATTGTATGTGTATAATGATGAAAAATGGTGGGCTACAATGAGGAATAATTCTTTTGATTTCCAAAGCATAATGGCCTATGAATTATGTTTAAAATTAATGAAAGAGAAGATAGAGAATAATTTGAATCTCATCAGTAACTATTTTTCTCTCTTTCTGAGACAGCAATGAGCCATTTTCTAAGGGATTTGAACCTTTGTGAGCAAGTTCCTCTAAGCTTCTAAAAGGTCTTAATTTGAAGCTGAACCTTTTTAATGATGATTTGTTTCGCTTGAAAGAACAAACAAATAAGCAGTTGGACTTCCTGAGAGGTTTTCATTGTATGAAGACAATTTCTTTGCAAGTCAAAGTAAGTTTTTAACATTTGGGAGGACATGTACATTCCAGCATATCTTCTTGCCATGAAAGATTCTTCTTCTTTCAACTTTACAAACAACCATGAAAGGAGAGGTTATTTTCCCATGGAAAGCAAATTGTGTTTAAAATGAAAAAAAAATGGTGATTTGGAAAAATTTCCTTATTTCTAATTGCATTCTTTGATATTACATAAAGAAAACCAATTTCATGCAATGCGATTAAATTAAATTTTGAACTACTGCTTTACACTATAGATTGACTTGTTTAGTCTTCTATTGGAACAGCTTTTTTTTGTTTTTGTTCAGCAAAAGACACTTTTCAAGAAGACATATCTCCCAGTGGTGGTGGAAAATTATTATTATTAGTTGTATCAGACATACCACTATATGAAATGCAAAATTTTTACAACATGCTTGAAAAAAAAAGTTCCCTCTCTCAGAGGTTCTGATGCAAATGTCCAAACTCTATGCTTCAGCATCAGGAGGCCCTCAGTTCTTGTTTCTCAAAGGTACCCCCCACATTCTTGGTCCTACATTTCACTTCAAGAGCAAACCAGCTCCCAAACAATTTAATTTCTTTCCCTAAATCTCAACTCCATTAAGTATTCTCTATATATCAAGAGTGGCTTCTCCTAGTCTCGAATTTCCCAAAATGTAGTACATGAACCACTGATTGTATAGAAGTCAATTTTCAGTGACATACAATATTCTCTAATTTGTTATTAGTAGTTTTCTATTTATTTTATAGTTATCTTCTATTTATGATTTTTCTATTTATAATAGTAATACATAGGTTAAGTAAATCCAAAGAAAAGAATCAAGTCAAAATATTAATTAAAATATGGCAATATTTATGAAGAAGTATATAGAGAATACTGCTCAAATAAAACATATATGCTATTTCGCTTCTCATTCTTGACATTTGACATTGTAATGCCTCTTTTAAAATTTGTTTTACCTTCTTCCTAAGATTATGATCATTGTACTTTATATGTTCTCTATACTTATTCCCTTGGTGATTTTGTTTGTATGCTTATGTTTTATAGCTTTAGCTACCATCTTTATGTAGATTGCTAAGTCTGAATTGTTTTCAACTTCCACTGGCACTCTTAAAAACTGCCATATGATTTGGTCTGGCTATTACATTGTAATTACTCTGCAACCTTGCCTTCAGCCCACAATATTGCCAGTGTGATCTTGTAAAACAATTGTTTCAGATTATTCAATTGCTAAAAACAAACAAACAAACAAACAAAAAATTTGAGTGGCTCCTCCTGCTGACAAAGTATGTTGCCTATTCCTTCATAGCATTTATGATATCTTTGTGGCCTCATCTCCCAACTCTCAATACCCTTTGCCCTGTCTTCTTCATTTCATTTCTGCCAAAGAGCTCATGTCCCTATCTTTCTGTAGTATATAGTACTATGAGTTGTTTTCTATATTACACAATCTCTTCTGTGGATATTGTTTCATCTTAATTATTCCTGATTGTATTCATTAACTATAATAGCACTTGAAAGAATATGTTTTGATATTTCTTATTCTGCTACAAAAGGTCTAGGTGTCCATATTTGTAAAAGATTTGGGGTTTTTCACAATGAGATACCATCTCCCACCAGTTAGAATGGTGATCATTAAAAAGTCAGGAAACAACAGGTGCTGGAGAGGATGTGGAGAAATAGGAACACTTTTACACTGTTGGTGGGACTGCAACCAACAGTGGAAGTTCAACCATTGTGGAAGACAGTGTGGCAATTCCTCAAGGATCTGGAACTAGAAATACCATTTGACTCAGCCATCCCATTACTGGGTATATACCGAAAGGATTATAAATCGTGCTGCTGTAGACACATGCACACGTATGTTTATTGCAGCGCTATTCACAATAGCAAAGACTTGGAACCAACCCAAATGTCCATCAGTGATAGACTGGATTAAGAAAATGTGGCACATATACACCATAGAATACTATGCAGCCATAAAAAAGGATGAGTTTATGTCCTTTGTAGGGACATGGATGAAGCTGGAAACCATCATTCTCAGCAAACCATCACAGGGACAGAAAACCAAACACCGCACGTTCTCACTCATAGGTGGGAACTGAACAATGAGAACACTTGGACACAGGGTGGGGAACATCACACACTGGGGCCTGTCATGGGGTGGGGGGAGGGGCGTGGATAGCATTAGGAGATACACCTAATGTAAATGACGAGTTAATGGGTGCAGCACACCAACATGGCACATGTATACATATGTAACAAACCTGCACGTTGTGCACATGTACCCTAGAACTTAAAGTATAAAAGAAAAAAAAAGATTTGGGGTTTTCTCTTTTCCTTGAAAATATGGAAGATTATTTTTAAAATATGAAGGTGGAAAATGAAACTAATTTTAATAATGGGTTACTTAGCTAAATTTAAAAAATTGGTAGAAAGCAGGCTTATTACAGAATCACTCTCAGATATTCATGTGTATGTTACCTAATTATGAAATAATATTTTTACAGATAATGTAAACAAATTTTAGTATTAATTTAACTAAAACATAGTTAGAAAGCTATGCCTGTGATAGAATAACAGAATCAAAACAAGACACCTTGCCATTCTGGACACACTTCTGAAGACTTCCCCTCATTTATCCATGTTGTTATGAAAACAAAACACCAAGACTGAGAACAATATTTGACATTTGTTCTGATTATTGAAACACATAGTGGAAATACTATTTTCTGTGACCTGCACACAGTTGCTATAATAACAATAAATTCTAATAATCATTTATATTTCTGTAACATTATGTTTTTCATGGTACTTTTTTATGCATGTCATTAGAGTCTCTCAAAGATCTTGGTGGTAGGTGTAGAAATCTATATTTTTAGTCTTTTATGTATGTATAACACCTACACACTATTTAAAAACAATAACTGTTTCCTTAGGTCTTGTAAAAAATAATAATGTCCTAATCATCAGTAGGAATTCTTCTACTGAGTGTTGAGAATTTTGTTTTAGGTTCTAGATACTAAGAGAAACTGACAGACCTCTGGAGGAGGGTATGTTGGAGAGTGGAGCTGCTCATAAAATCACAGAGAAATGAATTTTGAGAGATTATCAGATAATAAAAGAAACTGCATAAGATTTTTAGGCTAGATAAGAGATTGGAAAGTAGTGTGCTGAGAAATGTTCAACAACTAGCTCTCCAAAACAAAAAAAAAAGAGAAAAGTAGAAGTACTAATTTTTAGTGTTTGTTAATTTCCATGGTATAAATTCTCCAACCATAGCCACTTTCCAACCATCAGGATGACATCGCTGATCACAGGGTTGGGAAGAAATAATCAGTACTACAGTGTCTTAGTCCTTCCAGGCTGCTATAACAAAGTACCATAGATTGGGTGGCTTTTAAAGAAAAGATATTTATTTTTAGGCCCAGCACTCTGGGAGGCCTAGGTGGGCGGGTCACTTGAGCTCAGGAGTTTGAGACCAGCCTGGGCAACATGACAAAAACCCTTCTCTATGAAAATTACAAAAAATTAGCTGAGCATGGTGGTGTGTGCCTATAGTCCCAGGTACTCAGAAGGCTGAGACAGGAGGATTGCTTGAGCCCGGGAGGCAGAGGTTGCAGTGAGCCAAGATTGTGCCACCGCACTCTAGCCTGGGTGACAGAGCAAGACTCCATCTCAAGCAAGCAAGCAATAGAGAGAGAGAAAGGGCGAAGGAAGGAAGGAAGGAAGGAAGGAAGGAAGGAAGGAAGGAAAAGGAAGATAAGAAAAGAAAGAAGGAAAGAAGAAAAGGAAAGAAAGAAAAAAGAAAGAAAGGAAGGAAAGAAGGAAAGCAAGCAAGCAAGCAAGCAAGCAAGCCCAAGATAAAGGCACTGGCAGATACAGTGTTGGGTGAGAGCCTACTTTCTGCTTCATAGGTGGCCATCTTATTTTTTCTTCACATGGTGAAGGAGCAAATGAACTATCTGGGGTCTTATTCATTTTATTTTATTTTATTATTTTTGGGGACAAAGTTTTACTCTGTCGCCCAGGCTGGAGTGCAGTGGCACGATCTCAGCTCACTATAACCTCCACCTCCCGGGTTCAAGTGATTCTCCAGCCACAGCTTCCCAAGTAGCTAGAATTACAGATGCGCAACATCACACCCAGCTAATTTTTGTACTCTTAGTAGAGATGGGTTTTCACCAAGTTGGCCAGGCTGGTCTTGAACCCCTGACCTCTGATGATCTGCCTGCCTTGGCCTCCCAAAGTGCTGGGATTACAGGTGTGAGCCACTGCGCCCGGTCTGGGGTCTTATTCATAAGGGCACCAACTCCATTAATGTGGGCTCTGCCCTCAAGGCCTAACCACCTCTCAAAGGCCCCACCTCCTAATGTCATCATTTTGGAGATTAGGTTTTAAACTTATATATTTGGGAAGGACATAAATATTCAGTCTATAGCATGTAGCAATCAATATATAATGTTTCTATTACTACCATTCAGATATAGGTATAAATAACCTTAGTCTTAGATAGTGGTAAAATAGTTAGCGTATAATGAGCTATATTTATCATCTTTGTTTTTAATATAATTTAATTAACAGGAAATTTACATAATTTATTTTTTAATAATGACCAGTTTAACAACCGCTTGCAAATTTCTGGAAAATTTAAAAATTGGCTCTTGTAACCTGGTATAAGCCAGCTCCAACAAGTAACTAGATTAATGGAAGACATGATTCCTTCAAATATTCAAAGATACATCAAGGGGGAGGATAAGACTTTAGTATTTTATTCCAGAGGGCATCACCAGGACCAGTAGATATAAACATATGATGGCAAATTTAGGATCAATTTTAAGCCCAGACTTTTTAACAGTGAAAATGATTAATGTGGCAGCTATTTGGGGCAATGAGTTTTCACTGAAAGTATCCAAATAGATAGTTTTTCCATAAAAATGTTCCAGAAGAGGTGGAATGACCTTAGATACGGGTTTTGTAAAAGGAATTCAGAACTGCTGAGAAGGGTTGACGTGTACATTGTCTTCCGACTCTAAGGTTTGAATAATAGTCACTTTTACAGTACTTTTTTATTTTTCTCAGACCTTGAGCAAGTACTTACAGGTTTTTGATTCATGATTTCAAGTCAAGTATTCCAAAATTCATACTTGAAGTTATTTTTATTGAGCCCATGATTGCAGGGCTGCTTAAATATGAACTAGGTGGAACAGTAAACATCTCTGTACTTTCATTTGCTGTCAAAAGCTTAGAAATACCAGAACTACAATAGATTCATCTGTCTGATGTCCCCCACAGGAATAAAAGGAAAACTGGAAAGTAAATAAACATTTATTTCTCAGTGGTCTTCTAAGGCGAAGACAAAGAAGAAACAGGAGAAGTGAGAAAAAGAATGTGCCTGCTCTCCCTTCAGACCCCGTGCTGGCCTTGGCCCTGGGCTTAAATGTTAGATACTCTCGGTGGGAAAAGGTGTGAGGTTAACAAGGTGGAGCCATATTGATAGATTTCTCTATTTGCAGAGATCTCTAAAATAAATGTCAGAAATGGAAAAAGATCACCTGAATTTGTGCCTTTGTCTATCTTTGTTCAGACAGAAAATTGAGAGACATCCATAAATGAAAATTAGCTAAAAATAAAGCTGTCATTTGAGTAATTTTAATATGCATGCACTTTATCTCCAACTTCTTTGTGAGTTTCAGAATATTTTAGTAACATGTAGAGATTCAGCTTTCACAGCCTTGAGATGATAACTTGGAGGCTCACACTTGAAAAAAGAGTGATTGGTTACAATCAGTGTGGAGAAGAAAAGCTGCAGATGCTAGGCTGGTGACTTACTACCCGTAGTGTAATCTAATAAAGGTGCGAAGGACAATTTTGCATGCTTGATGTACTTTGGCAATTACCTTTTAAACAGATGTTATTATTTAATCCATCAAAACAAATACCCAATAAATATATAGTAATGAGGCTAGTTTATGGCTCAATTTTTTCGAAGATCTAAAAGATCAGCTTTTAATAGGCTAGTCTCAAAGCAAATTTTTTTTATTAAATAGCTAGATAAATTAACCACTAGCATTAAAAACTATTGTTACTCAAACTGTGACAATAATCTGCATAATGAAGCCAGCATTTTAGATCATACGTTTTCACCTACAGATGAGCTCTATGACCATCTCCAACAAATTATAGCAGAGGAGAGGTAACAGGTGCCCCGGGAGCATCATTAGAGAAAATTAGTCCAAATTAGCCCAAACTTATTTTGAAATCTAATGTCTTATTTTTTTAATTAATGCAAAAATTTGTGGGTTTTACTCTACAATACAACTATATGTTATAATAGAAAGAAAATTAAATACAAAATATTTTTCTCTAATTATTTTATGACTATCAACATGGTAGGAAGATGGATTATGTGTATTCTACAACTTCAAATGTTCCCTGGCATAACATTCTGTACCTCTGTGGTCATGCATGTCCTAGTCTGAAAAGCACAGATTTCCAGGATCAATAAGCCATCTCCTCACCTGGTTTCCATGTTCCATTTCCAATTCCATATTGCACATGCAGCTTCCTGTGTATTGTGTCATTTTCACAAACACTTCACTTACTGGGGATGACTAAGCTTAGCTGTCCACAGGTCATAAAGTTAAATGGAAGCTTGGCAGGGTACTTTGTCTTGTCTTTGACCCTCAAGGACAACCACATTTAAATTACAGCAGACATATAAGAACAAAGATGACTCCATAGTCTCTGCAGAAGAGGAATTTCATAAACTATTTTGGAATTTCTTCCTAGTCTAATATCATGAAGATCTGTTTTCAATACAGGCAATATGCATTTTAACTCTAAATGTCCTGAGAGACCTGTAAGGGATAAATTCAGATCATTTAATCTAAAACAGCCACTTGTATTAAAGGCCCATCAGTTGTATCCTACATGAAGGCAACAATCCTGTGAGAATATCTAGAAGATGCATGGTATTATTGACAGTGAAATTAAAACATCAGTTTAATTTTCTGTTGTATTCGAAGCTTCATATTTCACCTTAGGTATTCTTTTTGTTTTGTTTTGTTTTGTTTTTTTGTTTGTTTTTTAAAAAACAATTTTAATTGAGGTATAATGGACATACAATAAACTGCATATATTTAAAATGTACAATTAGATAATTTTTGCACCCATTAAATCATCACCACAATCAAGATCATGAACATATCTGTATTCCAAAATGCTTCCTCTATCCTTTTTTTTTTTTTTGAGAGAGTCTCACTCTATTTCCTAGACGGAAGTGCAGTGGCGCAATCTCGGCTCACTGCAACCTCTGCCTCCCTAGTCCAAGTAATTCTCATGCCTCAGACTCCCAGGTAGCTGGGATTACAGGCAAGCACCACCACGCTTGGCTAGTTTTTGTATATTTAGTAGAAATGGTCTTTCACCATGTTGGCTAGGCTGGTCTCTAACTCCTGGCCTCAAATGATCCACCTGCCTCGGCCTCCTCAAGTGCTGGGATTACAGGTGTGAGCCACTGCACCTGGCTTCACACTTCTTTTGGTATTCTTTTTTAGTGGTTGCAAAGTTAAAATGAAGATTTTTACTGTACAAATAGTAAGCAATTTTTTAAACATAAAGTAAACATATGCTATGCTAATAAGTTAAATTAGCAGAAAGGTAAAAACAGATTCACTCTTCTTCTGGAAGAATAAAGAAAACAATAAAGAAAACCTTATTTGCACATTGGAGTATAGTTCTGCCGCTGGCCAGACTGTGTCTATATTTCTTCATAATCCAATATCTAAGAGGGGCTGAGCAAGTATTTGATGAATGTATGAATGAATGAACAATGCATATTCAACTACAAAAACGAATTTCTTCTGTTGAGGGATTAAATCAACCAAAAGTTTGGAAATAAATTTCTTTGGTGGCTGTAGTCAAATATGCTTTAAGGGGAGTAAAAAGAAAGTTCCATTGTAACAATGTATGGTTTTTAAAGGACAATATAATAGAAAGAAAATCATTTTAAAGTGTTCCAGCTCAAGACAGATGACTAGCACAAGACTTTACCTCTCCCTCTCCCCATAAAAATTCCCACTGGAAAGAAAGAATAAGCGTTAGAAAATTAGAAAAAATTCGTAGAAGTACCAACCAGAAAGCAAAAGAATTTCTGAATATACCAAAGAGTTGGAAACCAATGGGAAAATTTAACAGATCTAAATAACCATTAGTGCCATATAGGAAAAAGAGAGATTTGCTATGAAGTGAGTATTGCCATCAGAACTCCAGAAAAATCTAGTCTAAGAGGCAGAAAAACGAAGGAAATAGGTGGTTTAAATTTGTTAAGGGCAAGAGAACAGCCATGCCAACCCCTTACTCTCAAATCTGCCAGCCATCACTGCTGGAGAAACCAGAGGTGGTGCTGTCATATTCTAGCTGACCTCCACTTACTAATAAACAAACACTTGATCTCTGAGAACAACCTCCCATCACATCTTAAAACACAACAGTTAGCTATAAATCTCCCCGTGCTCAGTGCTTGCCCCTATAATCTGCACCAATGCTCACAATGATTTTCATATGTGCAAATGATCACTGTACTGATGAAGCA